>NC_000017.11:22042061-22089188 GCF_000001405.40 Homo sapiens
TCCACTCCAGTCTGGGGGACAGAGTGAGACCCCCATCTCGAATATACACACACACATACACAGACTCACACGCTATCCGCTGGTGCCCCTGTCAGTTAAACACAGCATCTCAGGGCACCTTAGCACACAGTGTGAGAGCCGTGGTCCTAAACACTTCAATTAGAAGTGAAACATCTCTGGCTGGATTTTTAGAATATTTACTTTTTAATGTTTTATATTATATTTATTTTTTATGTTTTAATTAATTTATCTGAATACAAGACTCCAGACATTTGGAAGTAAAACAATGGAAAACATGCCTGCAAACACTAATCAGCACAAAGCTCATGTTGCTATGTTATTATTGACAGTTTAGACTTAAGCAAAGAAATATTGCTAAGATAAAAAAGATTTTACAATGTCAGTCACTAGAAAAGTATGCCAATTTTAAATATGTATAAATATAAAATATCCCTTCAAATTATTTACTACAGAAACTGATATGACTAAAAGAAAAATGGACTAATCTACAATATAGATTTTAACATACCTTTCAATTACCGATGGAACCAACAGAAAAAAATCCATAAGAGAAAGGGAGATTTGATGAACACAATGAACAAACTTGACATAAACTGACATATACAGAACGCGACACTCAACAACTACTGAATACACATCCTTTTCCAGTGCACGTATCATATTTACCAACATAGATTATACGTTGGAATTTAAAGGGACTCATCACAGAGTATTCAGTCGTGGGATTTTGCCTAAACTTGTCTGGCCTTCAACAGGGTTCAAATACAGTTAAATTCTTATTTCATCTAAAGAGTCCTATCCTTTTATTTTTTTGGAAATTTTACCGCAACAATCTAAATTTGCATAACAACTGAACCCACCCCTTGGAACTTGAAGTTTATTCTAGCCAAAGGCAGATTAAACTGTCTAAGTAGTAATGTCCTTCAAATTGTTGTCCCCTGCTCCAGTAACGGAGTATAGCTCCAAGAAGCTAACAGACTATTTGTCCCTCATAGCATACATTCTATGTTACATCAAAACGTGGTATAAAGCCTTGAAATCAGCAGCAGAGAGAAAATGAGATCAACAACCATCTAGCCATGACCTCACTACTTAGTAATTACGCTTTTAGCTGTCTCCTTTACTTGATTCCTAACTGCTTATTTCTGGCAGGGTAGCACTAATCTCTGACCAAGCTGACCTTTTAAGAAATGAGCAGAACGAAAAGGCTCTGCCACCAGTGATCAGTTTAACAAGCTGCAACACTAGTCACTGGCTGCAACTCTAGTCACTGGCTGCAACTCTAGTCACTGGCTGCAACTCATATTGTGGGTTTTAAGAGCTCAGAATTAACATGGAAATACTATTGACTCGAAAAGAAACCCAGAAATCTCTGGGAATCCAGCAAAGATAGAAAGGGTCCTCTCAATAGTCACCACTCACACTTTGCTTTGTTTTGGTAACTATTTTATTACATACGGAGAATGTCAAAAAAGTATGCCTTTTCCTCATTGTTAATGCTAACCCTAAAATGGTAAGGCTCTTGCAGGTTGAAACCCCCAGGCTCTCACTGGCCTTTCAGCAGAAGGCAGTGAAGTCACCTGCAAAAGCGATCACCCAAAAGCTTCCAGGCTGGACAAGTTTGGACTCAGTTCTTGTAGTTCCCAAATTCACAGTTCTCTTGGGACATGGTTATTTATGGAGCTCCTGAAGATGAGAAATTCCACCCAGGAAATTCTGTTTATAAAAGATTATTCACATCTAATTATCTCAGGAGACATTAACACAGCAATGTTGAAAATCTCCCATTGTTAATCCATGGAGAAAAACTGGACAAAAATTTTTTAAAATATGAAAAGCTTCATATAATACAAATTATACTTCCACATGTGATTCAATTTCTATTCATTAATGCCAGAGAAGTTAATAATTATGAATTGCCAGTGGTTAAAAAAAAATAAATCATTCATCACTGGAGAAGTACAGAAGGTTTAAAAGAGATAAGAATTAGTTTTTGGCTTTGGGGCGTTTTATGCTTTCCAAAAGGTTTTGCTCTTTTTTTTTTTTTTTTTTTTTTTTTTTTTTTTTTTTTTTTTTTTTTCTTTTTTTTGGGCGCATAGCTTGCCCCCTCTCCCTCTCTCTTTCTTTCCGATTACAGTTTCTTTTGATTTCTCCTGCTTAGAAATGGTGAGAGAACTTTGGATGTGGAATGTGGAGTAGGAGGAACACGAAGTGGGGATCTGCACTTGGGGTGGTCAGCACTGCGGATGCCCAGCAAAGGCACTGCCTGGTCCACATCCCGGAGTGGTCTCTGCGCCCGAGTCGGCATCGCAGCTGATGGTGAAACTTTTGGTGTGGCAGAAGAGTGTCCACAAACTTTGGAAGGTATCCGCTGCCTCCTCCATAGCCGTGTATCCCTGCCGAGGGCGATCATCTCGGGGAGCCGAAAGTCCGGCTCATGGGCCAGGGCTGGCTGGCTGGAGCCACTTGCGCGGCGCAGCCCTGGCGGAGGTTCAGGCGGCCCCGGTGTCGCAAGCGGCTGTGAGTGATGCCTCCTTGGTGCCGGAGGGGTCCCAGGAAGTCTGAAGACCAGGGCTGACCAGCGGGCAGCATGGTGGCCGCGATAGAAGGTGACAGGGTTCGCAGCGCCAGGGGACCCAGCAGAGCCCGAGCCCGGGCATCCCGCATCTCCAGCAGCACCGCGGGGAAGCCTGGCGCTGGTGACGTGGCGGCCAGTGCACAAGGCCCACGACCCAGTCCCAGAGGCCAGCCCATCGTCAGCTAACTTCAGGAACCCTGGGCCAGCTGAGGCCCCGGGCCCCAGGGGCAAGACAAAGGGCAGAGGGTCCGCAGGCGGGGCCGAGAGCAGGCAGTGCAGGCCTGGCTCCACAACCGCGGAGCTCGCAGGGCACAGCAGGCACCGGGCAGCAACCAGGGCTTCCAGAGGAGGCTGTGCACCCCCGCAAAGGCTCCTGCCCGGCGTCCAGCCTATCCGCGGGGACTCCACGTGCACCCCCTCCTCATTGTCCTTGTCTAGGGCCGCAGCAAGGTCCTGGCTCCCATGGCGTGACTCTGGGGGCGCAGGAGCATGGGCTGAGCAGGTGGAGTAGGGTGAGCACTGCCAAGAACCCAGCGAGAGTGGCGCCCCAGGGCAGCACAGGAGGCCGCATTTAACGTATAAATCATCTCAAAGATTTTATGGCATCTTCTTTTTTTTGACATCTTATAATATCTATAATGTCTATTATATCTTGTGATATAATTATTAACACCACTTCATTGTGATTATTATGATTATTTTTATACCAACACGTCTTCGATTATTAATATTCCCAGTTGCTAGAGAAAAATGAAAACGACTAGTTTTGAAAGCCTTACTTCTGCCAATGGAAGCACATTCCAGCATGTCGCCAACCCAATCCACTTTCCACCACTTTCACAAGAAACGTTACTGCACAATTATACTATCCTAACCTTATATACTTTTTGTGTGTGTGTGTGTACTTGTATGTATGTATGTTACATATGTTATATATATATATATGAAGTATGCCAGAGATGAACAAGTATTAGAAAATTAAATGCACACAGGTCATGTCAGTGCTATGTATAATGTGGTGTACTAAGTATAGATGTTCAACAGTGTGGGATCCAGGCCAGAACAAGACTCCTAGTCTTAAGCAATTCTTTCTAGGTTCAGTCTCTAGAAATAATGCTTTGTATCAAATGTGCGAGAAAATTAATGGGTTTTAAAGACTATTCTATGTCAACTATAACATTTCATTTGGGGATTTCTGTCTCTTATAATATCTACCTCATTTTGGATGGATTCCTTGAGGGCTGGTTTATTTTTCTTTTCCTTTCTATACATCGCTGCTCAGAGTGATGAATGGTGTTGTATTTTGAATAAAATATCTAAGCATCCTTTTGTGAGCAAGGAGCATGATGGTTGGTACTTAGACCTACCATTTCTCGTTACAGTGGTTATGGTTACAGTGGGGCTGGGGTGTTTACCTGGAGCCTGGACGTCCACTGGGACATGATACCCACTGGGATTTTTTTGTGTCAACCTGGTCTATGATGTCCACCTGGGGACTGGGTATCCACCTAAGGCCTGATGTTTACCTGGAGCCAGATGTGCACCTGAGGCCTGATGTCTATCTGTGGCTTATATTCACCTGGGGACCGATGCACATCTGAAGCATAGGTATTCACCTGGGGCCTCATATCCACCTGTAGTATGGGTGTCAACCTTGGGGCGGATGTTCAGCTGGCGTCCACTCTCTACCTGGGGCCTGGTGTACACATGGGGCCTGGGCATCCACCTGAGACTTGATGTTTAATATGGTCTGGAGTTTTCTTGGGACCTGTTGTACCCTGGAGCCTGGGTGTATACATGGAGCCTGATGTCCCAGGTGGACACCCGGGTCCCAGTGGATCTTCAGGCCCTAGGTGAAAACTCCAGGCTCTAAGTGGACAACCAGGCCCCAGGCTGATGTTTACTGGGGCCAGATGTCTACCAGGCCCCAGGTGAAAACTCCAGGCTCCAAGTGGACAACATGGCTCCAGGTTCCAGGTAGACACTGGAATCCAAATCAACACCAGGCCCCAGATGGACACCCAGGCCCTGTGGTGGACATCAGACTCCAGAAAGTCATCTGGGCTCGAGGTGGACATCAAGCCCCAGGTGGATACCTAGTCCCCAGGTAGATATCAGGCCCCACTTTGACGCCAGTCCCTGGGTAGATACCTTGGCCTCAGGTGGATATCCAGTCTCTAGCTAAGCCTCAGGCTCCAGGTGGACCCAGGCCCCAGCTGACTGGGGACTAGTGTTCATATGGGGCCACATGTCCATCTGGGCCCTAGGTGTCAACTAGTAGCCTGATGTCAACCTGGGAGCTGGTGTTCACCAGAGGACTAAAGTCCTCCTGGTGGCTGATGTCCAACTTGGGACTTTGTGTCCACCTGGAGACTGATGTCCACTTGGGACCAGATGTCCAACTGGAGCAAGATGTCCACCTGTAGCCTAGAACTTCACCTAAGGCCTGATGTTCCCCAGGGCCTACAGGGCCTGTGTATCTACCTAGGGACTTGTGTCCAGGTGGGGCCTGAGTTCCATCTGGGGTCTGGAATTAACCTGGGACCTGATGTCCACCTGAGGCCTGGTGTTCCTCTGGAGTCTGATATCTATCTGGGGCCTAGGTGTCCTCCTATGGTCTGATGTCCACTTGTAGGCTGGTGTCCACCTGGGGCCTGGGTGTCCACCTAGGAACCTGATGTATACCTGAAGTCCAGTATCTACCTGGGTACTGATGTCTACCAGGAAAGTGATATAAACCTGGGGCCTGATAGCCACCTGGGCCCCGAGTGTCCACATATGTTCTGATTTCTGCTTTTGGCCTGAGTGTAGGGCCTGGGTGCCACCTGGGTCCTGATGTTCACCAGGAACCTAGGTATTCACTTGGGGCTTGCTGTCCACCTGGGGCCTAATGTCCACGCGAGACCTGGTGTTCACCTAGGGCCTGGGCAGCCACCTGTGGCCTGATGTTCAGTTGGCGACTGGGAATTCCACTAAGGCTTGATGTCCACCTGGGGCATAGGTGACCACTTGTGGCCTAGTGTTCCCCTGAAGCCTAGGTGTCAACCCAGGGCATAACGTCTTCTTGGGGCCTGCTGTCCACCTGCAGACTGGTGTCTGCATAGGGCCTGGTATCCACCTGGGGTCTGGTGTCTGCGTGGGGCCTAGTGTCCACCTGAAGACTGAGTACAGACCTCACACCTGATGTATGCCTGGGGCCTATTTATCCACCTGGGGGCTAGCATTCATCTGGCGCCTCATGTCCACTTAAGCCCTGGGTGTCAACCTGGTGCCTAATGGCCACCAGGGATCTATGTACTCACTTGGGGCCTGGTGCTCCCATAGGGCCTAGGTATACACCTGGGGAATGATGTGCAGGTGGAGGCGGATGTCTTCCTGGGTGCTGCTGTTCACCTGGGGACAAGGGTCTCCCTGGGGACCGGTGTTTATCGGGAGCCTCATATGCACCTTGAACCTGCTGTCTACCTAGGGCCCGATGTCCATGTTAAGGCTGGGTGTCCACCTGGGACCTGGGTGTCCACTTGGGGCCTAATGTCCACCTAAGACCTAGTGTTCACCTAGGGCCTGGGTGTCCACCTGGAGCCTGATGTTCAGCTGGAGATGCATCCACCCGAGACCTAGGTATCCACCCAGGGTCTGGTGTCGAACTGGGGCCTTATGTCCACCGGGGGACTAGATATCTACCTGAGGCTTGATGTCCACCTGGAGCCCATATCCACCTCAGAGCTGGGTGTCCACCCAGGTTCTGGTATCCACCCGGAGCCTGGTGTTCATCTGGGGCCCAGTGCCCACCTGGAACCTGGGTATCACCATGGGGCCTGGGTGTCCACTTGGAGCGTGATGTGCACCTGGGACCTGAGTTTCCACCTAGGGCCTGATGACCACCTGGGGTCTGATGTCTACCTGAAGCCTAGGTAACCACCTAGGGCATGGTGTTACCTGTGCCTTTATTTCCACCTGAGCCTGGTGTACACCTGGGGCCTGGGTGTCCATCTGAGGCCTGATGTACTCCTCAAGTCCAGTGTCCACTTGTGGCCTGATGTCAACTTGGAAGCTGATATCCACCTGGGGACTGATGTTCTCCTGGGGTCTGATATCCAACTGGGATCAGATGTTCACCTAAGGCCTGGAGTTAATCTGGGGCCTGATGGTCACCAGGGTCCCAGGTGTCCACCTAGGGCCTAGTGTCCAACTAGGGCCTGATGTCCACCTGGAGTCTAGTATCCGCCTTGGCCTTGATGCTACTTGAGGCCTGGGTGTCTTCCTAGAACCTGAGTCCCCAATTGGGCCCTGATGTCCACCTGAGACCTGGTGTCCTTACAGGGTCTGATATCTACCTAAGGCCTGGGTATCCTCCTGCAGCCTGATGCTCACCTGTAGGCTGGTGTCCATATGGGGCCTGGGTGTCTACCTGTGAGCCTGATGTACACCTGGAGTCCAGTGTCCCCTTGGTTACTAATACGTACCAGGAAAATGGTATATACCTGGGGCCTGATATACACCTGGAGCCTGCATGTCCACCTGAGCCCTGATGTCCACCTGGGGCCTATATTCACCCACTACCCAAAGTCAAGTCGGGAAAAGGGCCCAGAATAGGTGAGGAGCACAGGTCAAAGCCTCTCAGTCCTGCTTGTATTTCTCCAAGAGTGATCTGGAGACCAACTGCATCAGAACTGTGGGGTGAGGTCACAGCCCCTGCCTGTGAGAAGTACAGATTCCTCTTCCTGGACCAGAATCCCTGGGAACTGGACCCAGGAATTTCCCAAGATCTCTGGGGGACTCTGAGACAGCCCAAGTATGGGAACTGCAGATTTCCTCCTGAAAAGGGAGCACTGTCTCAAGGGGTCCAGGTCACCCAACTCTACCTTGTAGCCACCAGACCAGTCTGAGCCTTGGAGAATGCTGCTCTTTCCTCCTGGAATGCCCTTCCCAGCGTTCCTTGCCTGGTAACTCTCACACATCCCTCAAGACCCAACTCAAGGGCCACCTCCTCCTGACGTCACTCCCTGAACTTTCTCCTGTGTTTCCACTCTCCTCTTCACCAAGTGATGTTGACATTTCTATGGGACCATCTCTCTCTAGACAAGAAACGCCTACAGTTGCAGCCCCCTGTAGTGCAATTTGTGTCAGTCTGGGAAGAGTGGATTTGGAGCCCAACCACCATTGAGGAAAATCCGTCTGATGGACATGGCGGGTTCCAGCCCAGATGCAGGGGTCAGCGAGGGGTGATGTGACAGTGAGCACAGACCCTGGGTGGTGGTGACAGTGGCTGTCATGGGGAGGAAAGGAATGGAAAAAGGACCTCATGGGAGCAGAAAGACAGGCCTTAGCTGCAGATGGGCCAGGACCCCACAAGGAATCCAGAACCCGCATCCTAATCCCAGCTCTGCTGTAAGTCCACAGCGGAACCCTGGCAGTGACTTTCCCCTTTCTGAGCCTCATTTTACTCATCAGTAAAATGGTGACGATAACTCCAACTTCACCAAGGAGATGCAAGGCTCAATGAGATGATGGATCTGAAAATGCCTTGTGTTTCATGGCACAAAGGAGAGGGATTCCTGACATGCGACAAGCGCAGGGAGAGAGGAAGGATGGGGTCTGTAAATGGCCAGGTGGCAGCCCACCCCTCCACACACACAAACACCCACCGTGTCACCCACACTGGTGATTTTCCCAGGAGCTCCCCTGGCCTGGAATTAGCACTGTCAGTGGGCAGGGAGGACTGTCGTGCCATTACAGGGGTGAGGATACAGGCTGTGGATGGTCCCACAGGGAATAAGGAGCAGGGTCTAGCTCCCCATGGCGGCAGGGAAGATTGAAGTTGCTCCCTGGGAAGAGGAAGGGAGGCATTGACTGGCACTCCGTGATTTAGATGAGAAGCCCTGGCTCAGCCCGGTGACTTGAGCTTCCTGATGTAGAAGGTGAAGGATGCAGAGGAGACAGAGGGCAGGAGGAAGAAGATAAGGAAGAGAGCAGCAAACTGGAGTCACTACAGGACACTAGCTGCTCCAGGCTGCTCTGTCCCATTCTAAGAGAAAAGGAAAAGTGGGAGAGGGGATCACAGATCATGTCCAGATTTCTCACTGGCATGGATGCTGCTATGGAAACATCCCTGATGGTCCAGGTTTGTGGTGGGAGAGATTGCAACACTCTGCTTCCTGGAAATCTGTGTTTACAGCCAACACAGTTGCTGCCCGAGACAGCCCCACCTGAAAACCCCAGAGCTGCCCCAGCTTGCCAGGCTTCCCCTCCTCCTGTTATCACCCCATGCTGCTGAGAACCTGCCTGGCAGGCTGCCCAGCCAAGGCCGGGGCCTAATCTCAAGTGAAACTGACATGTCCTTGTGAGGACTGAGGAACATCCTCTCTCCCCACAGAGCCTCACTCAGGTTCTCATCTACTTCCTTGGGGTCTGCCCCGCCTCCCTCAGGAGTTTGGAACCACATACTGTTCTGGAGGGGACCTCTCACTGCTGCAGAACCTGTCCTCCAGGATACCCACAAGTGTTCATCTCGGTCGTGGCTAATTAACTTATCATATGGTAGTGAACTACCTTCTGGAGCCCCAATAGTTTGTTTATTTTTTAAAAATAAAATTAGTACCATTGTTTATTTTCTGAATGTACAGAAATATTTGTCTGATTATTATTTACATGCCCTTTGGGAAAACTTTATAAAATAAAAAAAGAAGGAGAATCCTACCACACAGAGATAATCACTTTAATAATTTTTCTATTCATATCTGCACATACAGGTATATATGGGATCATGCTCTGTATCTGTTGGGAGTGCATTAATCTGAAAGTTCAGTCACTTAAACAAAGACAGGTTCATTTTTCTTACATAGTTAGGGTATCTATGGTTCCTGGCTATGGTTCACTGGTTCAACAGTGTTAGGCCCAGCATCTTTGTGAGTCTATTGGAATTTAGTTCATGGCTGTAAGACGGCTACTGCAGCTCCAACCACTACATGAGTTTACAAGGCCAGCAAAAGCAGTCACTTCTGTATTCTTATTAGAAAAGCAGGAACTTCAGCGGTGACCCCCAGAGGATTTCTCTTTAGGTCTGGAAATCTGTGTTTAGATTGGCCAGAACCTGATCTCATGACCATCCCTAGCAGTAGAGAATAGCATTGTCATGATTGACTTTGGATCAATCATAATTTATTGACTGAGAGTGCACAAGTGGTCACCCAAAGAAGATCAAGAAAGGAGGGAATTAGCAGTGTGTACTACAGCATGCATGCTATTTTATGATGTGCTCTTTCTCTTAATTGCATATTTCAAACATCTTTCCATACTAAGAAATACAGATTCAGTCATTCATTTAACAACAAATTATTGAGAGTGTACTGTGTTCCAGGAACTTAACTTGGCATGGAGGACACAATAATGAACATAGTATACTCCTTGCCTCCATGGAGCTTAGCATCTAATGAGGGATACAGAAAGTCATCAAAGAGGTTCACAAAGAAATGTAAAATTATGATTGTAATTTGTGCTGAAAAGGAGGGAGCTGTGTGGTGTGTGAGAGCAGTGACAGGAGATTTGACTCAATCAGGAGGGTCTGTGTTCTGAATGGCCATAAGCCAGCCCCTTGCCTAGCTGTAGCACAATTATTTAGCCAATCTCTTATTGCTGGACATTTACATTCTTCCCACATCTTACCTACTACCATCAATGCAACAATAAATACCCTTCTCTAAGTACCGCTTGGCACACTTGTCTGATTATTTCCTCAGGATAAATTCCTAGGGTAAAGCCAGGCACCATGGTTCATTCCTGTAATCACAGCTACTCAGGAGGCCAAAGTGGGACGATCACTCGTGGCCAGTAGTTCATGGCCAGCCTGGGCAGCATAGGGAAGTCTTGACTCACAAAAAAATCCTAGAAGAAATGAACAATTCTTAGATGTCAAATTGCCAAATCAAGGGGTGCACCATCACCATCCCCATACTCACCATCACCATCCTCATTATCATCATCAGTCTCACCCTCACCATTCTCACCAGCATCAGCAGCAGCATCCTCACCATAACTATCAGTATCTATCACCACCTTCAGCATACCATCCTCACCATCACCATCATCTTCATTACCACCACCATTTTCACCATCACCATCCTGACCATCACCATCATTATCACCTCATCACCATCCTTACCATCACCATCACCATGCTCACCTTCACCATTCTCACCATTATCATCCTCATCCTCAGCATAACTATCACTATCATTATCACCACCTTCACCATCACCATCCTCATCATCATCACCTTACCATCACCATCCTTATCATCACCATCACCATGCTCACCTTCACCATTCTCACCATCATCATCATCATCCTCAGCATAACTATCACTATCATCAGCACCTTCACCATCACCTTCCTCACCATCACCAACATTATCACCATCACTATCCTCATCATCATCCTCAACATAACTATCACTATCATTATCACCACCTTCACCATCACCATCCTCACCATCATCATCATCATCATCACAACCACAATTATGAAAATCTTGGAGGAAAAGGAGAGGAGGTAGCATATTAAAATACAGGTACTTTGATGAGGAGGAACAGGCAGAGTTGAAGCTGGGGAGGGGATATCAAACAATGGAGACCCCCAGAACATAAAACTAAGAAGCTCAGGCTTTGCCGAGAATCAGAGGCATCCTTGAAGATTTATCAGCAGGAGAGTATGCAGTCAGATTCCTGTTTAGCCAGAACATTGAGCAGTCCTCAGAAGGAAGAAGCAGAGGGAGGGAGGCCCACAGAGGAGACAGAACCTTCAACACCAACCAGAGTCCTGGTCCTGGGTCCAGCAGATCTGGCAGGAATGAGGAATGGGAGGCTTATGGGTAAAGGCTGCAGCCAGGCAGGAAAAGGCCTCACTCTCCCTGCCACTCCTTTCCCTGCTCCCCACTTTCCTGTCCCATCTTTGCTAATAGGCTAAGCATCTCCAACTGCACCCACCCACTAGATTTGCCTCAATTCCTCCTCCTCTCTCATGCCTGAGGCCCAGGTGGCTTCCAGAGCTGACCAGGTCTATTTTAGAATTTTAATGAGATAATCTGGGTAGAAGTGCTGGTGCCCTGCCAGCCACAGCAGGTACTCCTCATATGGTAAACTGGAACTGTCTTCTCAGTTCCTACAGCTTTGGGTTCAAATTCTGCCTAATCCAGATGACCACCATCTCTCACCTGAGCAGAGAAGCCTCCCATTGGTCTCGCTGTCCCAGACCTTCCTCTTTCCAGGTATCAGCCTGACAATTTTCTCAAACTGCAAACCTGGACATGTCCCTCCCTTGTCCCTTTGATTAAAGGGTAAGATCCAAATTCCTTAGCATGACACCCCAGGCACTGAGGAGCTAAGGCCCCTCCATTTCCACCTTGACTTGTTCCCCTCTAGTAGCATTGCTGACCCACTTGCCTTGTTCTTTCACCACATGGCTTTGATCCTGTTGCTCTTCTGCCTGGAGCATCTTCCTACATCTTCTCTGCCTGGTGAATTTCTACTTAACCTACAAAGCCAAGCTCACCTTCTCTGTGAATTCTACTTCCTCCCCATCATGCTGCAAATTGTCTCTCTCACTAGACCTCCAGCCCCTAAAAATCAGGGACAGCTTAATGCATGTTGGAAATGGCTACTCCTCACTTAATTACCCTAATTAGCTAGTTATATTCCTTTATATTTATGTTTCCCCATTTATTGAAGCTTTCCACAAGCCAGGCACTGAGATCCAGGGGAGGACAGGGGAGGACCCTGAGGGTAGGACAAGCATGAGCACTGAAGGCTACAATGGCACAGGCACCAACAGATCATGTGGGGTGCAGGAAGCCTCATCTCTAGAGTGTCTTCCTGGTTTACCATACGCTTTCTTCCCTTCCCTTATTGGAGTCACCTTGTGCTGACTTTGATAGCCTGTGTCCCTGAAACATGCACTCCCACACACACAAACCGACCCACACCTATCCACATGTACCTGCCCATACATACACAGACCTCTCTGTGTATCCCCCAGAGCTACAAATGCCAATCTTGAGAATGAAGATTTTGCAAGTGCTCTGTGCCAGGCATGATGCCAGGTCCCTGACAACAAAAGACCCCTCTGGTTTCTCCCACTCAGCTGTGCAAGGTTCGGGGTTGAGGAGCTCCCCCTGCCAAGGTCACAGACGTGGAACATGAGGTAACAGCTATTTGAATGTAAGCCTGTAGGTCACCAAAACATAAGCCATCTGCACCCCACCACACTGCCTCCAAAGCACATGAAGCCATGAGTCTATCAACTGTGACTCATTAGTAGCCAGGAATATTTCCTCCTCCACTTCGCTTCCCACTGCCACTCCAGTATCTCTGCCCACAGTCCCAGAGCCACCTCTGCTTAACGGGGAGGTCAGGACTGATGCTCCATTCCACCCAATGCCATCTCCCAGGGTGCAGCCTCCTCACAGGAAAGAGGACTACCGTGGCTAGTGGTGACATGGGTGGCTCTGGCCTCCAGGACTTCTCCCCAGGACCTCTGCTCAGGACATGGCACGGACAGAGGTGAGGTTGCCATAAAACTGCCTCGGAAATGACTACAAACCAGCTCAGACCATTCCAGCACCTAACACGCTGACAGCCCACGGTGGGCCCACAGAAGGGGAAGGGCTAGGGAGTCCAGGGCCGCAAGAGTTCACCCTCCCTGAGCCCTTGAGCACAGCCACCCAGGTGTAAAGAACAATATGGGGGTTCTGGGGATTCCCAAGCCTGGGCCCTAGAGGTGAGTTCTAGCAGGGCCCCCAGATATCCTCCCCATCCATCCCCTCATCCTGTCTCACATATTGTAAAAACAAGGAAACTGAGGCCTAGAGAGGGAAGGGGCTTGAGGAGTCTCCCAGGCAGTTAGAGACAGAGCCCAAGTGAGAATCTGTGTTTCTCTCATTTTTTTCCCCTAGGTCTGTCTCTGACTAGCTATGTGACCTTGGAAGAGGCACTCCACCTCTCTGGGCATTGAAGGTTTACAACTTCTGACATGTTCATTCCAGAGGGTTGTCAGGACCTGACAGCCCTTCACCTAAACAAAACACTCTACAGTCTACTAATATTCGTATATCTCTTATCTTCTCTGACCTCTGTAATACCCCTATGAGGCTGTGAAAATTGGTGCTTGTGTCAGAAAGACAAAGATCACGCAGAAAATTTGGGACAGGACTGGAACTAGAACCCAGGTCTCTCAAAGCAGGGTCCTTGCCATCACTAAGGCTAGGAATACATTAAGACTCCAAAATATGGAGAGTTGCTCAATGCATGCCACCAAGGTTAGAGCTGACCAACCCCAGAATGCTCAGCGGCTCTGAGACCCTGGAGTGGCGGACTCAAGGCAGAGGGTGATGCCGAAATCACACACATCTGAGCTCCAATCCAAACTCCACTACGCAGCTGTGTGACCCCACTTTATGAGGCTCAGCATTCTCTAGTACAAAATGAAACTACAGAAGGTACCAAAAAGCTCAGGATGAGGGGAGAACTGCACCCTGAATGCAGGACTGCCAGGCAGGTGGTAAGCACTCATTAGCTTCTGTTTCAAGCACACAAATCATATGTTGTTTTTCATCATGTCTCCCCATGGTGTCTGGTCTATGGCTCCAGAACCAGGAGGCTTCTGATCAATCCTTATGCTAAATGATAGACAGATAGATGGGTGGGTGGTTAGACAAATAAATGGATGGATGCATGGATTGATAGATTGATGCTGGGATGAATGGATGGATGAATAGATGGATGAATGGATAAATGAATGGATAGGTGCTCAGAAGACAGAATAAAACAGGGATTCAAAATGAAAATAACAAGATGATTGAAGGATGGGGCTGGTACATGGAAGAGAGGTACAAGATCCAGCCCTTCTGGCTCTATTCAGCCCTACAACCACATACCTTGGGGTAGCACTGGCACATGCTCCAGATTATACCCCTGGATACCATGATGCTGCCACAGAAGGTTTCATTGAACTGGGGCCCATCATGGCTCAGGAGGAATGTACTGAGAGCCAGGAGAAGACTCATACATTGAAGCTGAAGCAGAAGGTCTTCTCGTCTGCCAAAGTCTCCTCAGCTGCTATGGCTGCCAGCCAGGCCCTGGCCTGTGCACCCCTGCCAGAAGGGGCCTGTGCCATCCAACATAAACATCCAGACAGGCTCACAGGAAGAGATGAAGCTCTTGGATCACTGCAAATCAAGGCTTAAAGTTAAAGGGAGGGCAAGACCCCTTCAGCTCCAGGCCCATTCCCTGGACCCACCAGTGCAGCAGGGCTGAAGGCAGCATGCTTCGGTGGACCAGTGAACCCACTCCCCACCCTCTCTCCTTCCCTTGGGGCCCAGAAGGCCTGGAGTACATGTGTGAACATGGGTGAGGGAGCATGCAAGGGAGGAACAAGGGGAGGTTACAGGGGCTGGGCCCCAGGCAAGCCTGTGACAAAACCTTCTTTGCCTACTTTGGGGCTGAACTGAGTAAACAGCTGATCCCACACCTTCTAGCCCCGGGAAACAGGGTACAACTCTGCAGCCAAAATATGTTAGAATGCTGCCAGAGGATTTCAGGATCCCACTGCCAGGCATTTCAGGATCCTAGATTTTAGACCCTTCAAGGATATGTGTCCATCTGGGATTCAGGCATGATGGCCCATATGTAGTGGATGGTGATGATGGGCATGACATCATTCTAAGCATGTTACAGCTGTTAACTCACTTAAGGGACTGCATGAGGCAGGTATTGCTACACCCACTATGCAGAGGACACTGAGCACAGACAACTAACTTGCCCAAGGTCACACAGCTGGAAATGGTAGAGAAGCTGGAACGTGAACCCAGAAGCTGTGCCCCTGGCCACAGGGCAATCCTGCTTAATAGCAGCACAAGGTTATGGGTGAGAGCTCTGATGGCAAGGCAGGCTGCCTGGGTTTAGATCCTGGCTCCTGTACTGCGGGGCAGCGTGGTCTTGATCACATTACCTGCCTGTGTCTGTTTCCTCCTCTGTAAAATGGGGATAATAACGGTACCTCCCAGCATTGGCGCTGTCTCCAGGCCTAGGTGTCCTGGATCCTTCTGCCCCCTTTACACTCTGTGCAGCATCCAGACCTGCTTGTAATGAGCTCCTCTACTCCCCCACCAAAGCTCTGGTGAATTAATGTCCCTGTGGGGTATAAGTGACTGATAGTAACTTCCTCAATCTCCTTGCAGCCTAATCTAAGAAGATGCCTTCTAAAGAATAGCATTCTAATGTGAAATTTTTGTCCTGTGAAAGGCTAATGGGAGAAATCAGATTCCTTTGCAAGGTTACAGAAAAAACAGGACAATGAGTATCTCTAAGAGAGAATGCTCACTTTGAGTGTCGATGGGGTTAGGTGGCCAATACAGGATGAAAGGCTTTCATTTGGCTCCCTGACCTGCTGGATTTGGGGATTTCCCTGGACCTGGTCATTACCTCTTTCCTCCTGCCCAGCATGTGCTCACACCAGCCCCTCTGCCTCATAGTCCTTCCCACAGGCCTTTTTTCTTACATTTTTTTAGAGAAGGTAAGCTCAGAGGGACTTTTAATATGCCAATCGATGTTAAGAAAACACAAGCCAAAGACAAGTGCAAACATGCTTTCAACCAACATTAATGAGGAAACAAGACACAAATTCTTTTTCTTTTTATATTTTATTTTTGAGATGGAATCTCACTCTGTCGCTCAAGCTGGAGTGCAGTGGCGTGATCTCCACTCACCACAAGCTCCTCCTTCTGGGTTCACGCCATTCTCCTGCCTCAGACTCCTGAGTAGCTGGGACTACAGGCGCCTGCAACCACGCCCAGCTAATTTTTTGTATTATGGTAAAGATGGGGTTTCACCGTGTTAGCCAGGATGGTCTCGATCTCCTGACCTTGTGATATGCCCGCCTCAGCCTCCCAAAGTGCTGGGATTACAGCTTGAGCCACTGAGCCTGGCCCTGTTTGTTCTTTTACTTTAACTTTACAATGTATTTGCCATGTTTTAAAAATAAATTTAATTGGAATTTTATTGAAATTGTATGAGACATGATTTAGTCCAAGATGAACACACAACATTATTATTACTGTTTCCATCCAGCTATGGCATATTTCTCTAGTTGTCTTTTATATCGCTCAATAAAATTTGTGGCTCTGCTACACTTCCTAATAATCATACATTATATTTCATTATTTCTAATTATTATAATGGATTGCATGTACATTTACTATGTACCATATATTATGCAATATATTCATTATCTCAATTCATAAAACAATCATGTGATTTAGTTGGTGTTATTACTAGATTATTAACATTGTACAAGTAAAGAAAATAAAGACAAAAGAAAAGAGACTCAGCAAAATCAAACCAATAAAGACTTCATTAGAATTGTTGGGTATATAATAAAAATTTAATACAACTCAATGAAAGCAAAAAAACATTTTAAAAAATGACCAGGCAGATTTGAGAAGGAGCCAAACAGAAATTCCAGAAATAAAAACATAATTGTTGAAATTGAAGACAGATTTGACAGCAGATTACATATAATTGAAAAGGAAGATGCAAACTGGAAGACAGGCTGAAGAAATTGCTTAGAATGAAGCCCAAAGAAGTAAAAAAATAAGAAAGAAACAAGAGACATGGAAGACAAGAGTGATATTACAACTAACAGGATTTCATAAGTAGAACAATAAACCGTTAGAAAGGTTTTGTAAAAAAGATAATGGCTTGGAATTTTCCCAAAGTGATGAAAAACTCCACCCTTCATATTCAGGAAGCTCAAGTTGGACAGATTTAAAAGGCGAAAAAAAACACCTAAATGTATCATCATAAAAATAATGGAACCCTGAAGAAAAGAATATATTGAAAATAAGCAGAGAGAACATTCAGTTTATCCATGAAAGAATACGGACTTAGACCAAGAGCTAATGTCTTAAAAATGGAAGCAAGAAGACAATGTACTAAGAAAAAACAATCACATATGAAATTAATATATCTTTTAATAAACAGGCCAAATATAGACATATTTAAGTCATAAAAAACAAACAAATACTGAATTTGCTAACTAAGAGACCTTCACTAAAGGAAATTCTAAGAGATGTTCTTCAGTAGAAGGGTGTTCCCCTAGATGGAAGACTTGAGTTGTGAGAAGAAATGGTGAGCACTTAAGAAGACAAATATCTGAGTAAATATAAATGAACACTGACTATACAATATGTAGTTTCCAGTGGATTAAGAATAAGATGAGAAGCAAAACTATAAAACTTCTACAAATAATACAGTAAAACTACCTTAATAAACCCCAGTGGGTTTTCATATAAAACCTAAACAAATTCTGTTCACCAGAAAAACACTATCAGGATCAAAGACCCAAATATAAGGGGTAAAACTATAAAATTTGTAGAAGAAAACATAGGTATAAATCTGTGACCGTGAATTAGGCAATGGGTCTTAGATACAACACCAAATGCAAGAGTGACAAAAGGAAAAAACAAACTGGACTTCAACAAAATTCAAAACTTTTGTACATCAAAGGATACTATCAGGAAAGTGAAAAGAACCCACAGAATGAGAGAAAATACCTATTAAGTCATACATCTGATGAAGAACTAATGTCCAGAATATATAAAGAATTCTTAGAATAACAAAAAGACAACCCAATTAAATGAGCAAACAATCTAAATGAAGATTTCTCTAAAAAGATATACAAATGGCCAATCAGCACATGAAAAGATGCTCAACATCATTAGTCATTAAGGATATGCAAATGAAAACTACAACTAGATACCACTTCACATCTACAAGAATAGCTATTTTTTTTTAAAAAAAGGAAAATAACAGATGTTGGCAAGGAGGTAGGAAAAAATGGAACCTCCATACACTGCTGGTAAGAATATAAAATGGTACAGAGACTTTGGAAAACAGTTTTGAAGTTTTTCAAAAAATTTAAACATAGATTTACCATATGCCCACTCTTAGATATATAAAGAAAATTGCAAAAATACATCCACACAAAACGAGTACATGAATCTCATCACAGTACATTATTAATCATAGTCAAAAAATGAACACAACTCCAATATCCATGAACTAATGAATGGATAAACAAAACATAGTAAACTCACACAATGGGATTCAGGCATATAAACCAATGAGGTGCTGAGACAAGATACAACATGGATGAATCAGGACAACATGCTAAACAAATGAAGCCAAACACCAAAGGTCACATATGATTCTGTTTTTTCTGATATTTGGCACATGCTAGTCCATAGAGACAGAAAATAGTCTAGTGGTTGCCAGAGGCTGGGGAAAGGGGGAAATGGGGAGTAACTGCTAGTAAGTATGGAATTTCTTTTTGAAACGATAAAAATCTTCTAGAGTTAGAGAGTGGTGATAGCTGTACAACTTTATGAATACATTAAAAGCACTTATAGCACCTATAGTCCCAGATACTCAGGAGGCTGTTGCAGGAGAATCGCTTGAACCTGGGAGGCAGAGGTTGCAGTGAGCCAAGATCGCACCACTGCACTCCAGCCTGGGTGACAGAGTGAGACTCGAAATGTGGGGAAAAAAATGCACTTAGTGTACACTTAGAGTGGATACTGGGCTAAAAGTGAAGTGACAGGCCACAAACTAGGCAAATCTTCTATACACATACCTGACAAGGGACTTCAGGGAATCCTAAAAATTTCAATGACAAAATAGGAGACTATAGACAAAAGACATGAACAATGCACATAAGGAACCCAAATAACCCATAAACAAATGAAAATAAGCTCAGCCTCCTTCCAAACCACAGAGAAGACTATTTCATATCCAAATGAAAAAATGATATGAAGTAAAGGCAAGAATGTGCACAAACCAGTACCCACGTAAGTTGCCAGTGGGAATGTAAAATGGTGTTACTTCTTAGCAAATTTGGTGTCATCTATTAAATAGTTCACTGTGCATAATCTTGGGCCAAGCACTGCCATTCCTGGGCACATGCCCTAGAAAATCTCTACATGTGAACCAAAAACCAGCACCATTGTATGGAATAGAAAAAAAAAATCAAAAACAGAATGGACAAACAAATTTCACTCTCTACAATCATATGATCAGACAGTGCAGCAAGGAAAATGAATGAATGAAAGAAAACCACAATAGCAGCAAAAAACAGCAAGCCAGAATATATAAGGCATGATTCCTTTTATGTACAGTTTCAAAATATGGAAAACTCAAAAATATCTTCTATAGGGAGAAAAACACACATTCTTAGAATATTATAAGCAAAGACTTTTACTTGTTTCTTTTTCAGTTTAAGGATCTGCTGTTCTACTTTTGCAATTTCTCGATTTATACGATCCATACTCTGTATTAACTCTTCCTTTGAAAGTTTTGAAGGTGAAGCATTTTGATCATCTCCACATGGTTGCCCCGAAATTGGAGAGGATGGAGCTTCATGTTTGCCTCCAAATGTTGGATCCTTTAGAGAATAAAACCAAGAAAAACAATTTATTTCTCACTAATAGAGTCCAGATTGCCTTAAATGAAAAAGCCAGTTTTAAACCACAGCAGAACCATGTGTACTATGTGTCTAATGTTTAGTAGTAACTTTCATATTTATATATATGCAAATTCTCACCTCACTTTTGTAGTTTAGATATACCATGTACTATTTTGAAGAGCCTAAAAGCTATACAAAGTCAGGTGAGTTAGTGTTGATCAGCCTCTAGTGTAACGATACTGAAATTATAAAGAATTTATAGGTAAATAATGCAATCATGACAAAGGAAGATACCAACTTCTCAGCCATTTCCTTGCAATGGCTCTTCAAATGGTCTGAACAACTGGCTGGGAAATAGTATTATTCCAGGTAACACCTATGTGTCCACCCAACTTAACAACTATAACACAGCCAAGTGTTCCTATCAAAAGTTTTCAGGCTTCCCAAACCAAAACTGAGGTACACGAGTCAGAGAAGTGACCTAGGAACTTCAGTTGCTACTATCTCTGGGCCTACTTTCATAAAGCCCACACTACAGCATACGTAACACTTCCTTAGCCAAAAACATCCCATTGCGCCTCCAAATCAGCAGAGCTGTAGCAGAATGAAAGCCCTTTCACCCAAAATCCACTACCCTCCAGCACACATCCACACACACCCTATTAATTTCCAGTCTGCTGTAAAGACATAAGCAATATTATAAAACAGATAAATTTTAGAGTACTAATTTTACTTAGACTATGAGAAACCTACAATGAGGGTAGTTCACAGGATTAAAGAACCCTAAAATGTATTAAATAATGATTAAGGAACTGTGAAAAGTCAATAGTTCTGAGCCAAGAATGCATACAGGAGATAACTGGACAGTTGCTTCAAAACACCTTAGTACAGATATTTCAGCTAATATACATTGATGAAAAGCCTCATATTCTGTAATAGTATGCACTGAATCTAAGAGGCCTTCTGGGAAAATAAGATTAAGGCTATACCTTAAAACCTGTACAATTCTGTAAGGAAAGCACCAATAAAAGCAATAACAATTCTAATATACTTAATAAAGTTAAAGCTCCAGTATCCTTTGCATCTGGCATACAGTCAATCTTTGGCAGCTTTAAGCCCTACAGTTTATGATTCCTCTCTTAAGATGTAAATCCGTGAGGTCATTGGCTTCCAAAATAAACCAGTATGTTTCATCTAAATAAAGTATCAGTGGCCGGGCATGGTGGCTCATGCCTGTAATCCCAGCACTTTGGGATGCCAAGGTGGGCAGATCACAAGTTCAGGAGTTCGAGACCAGCCTGACCAACATGGTGAAACCCCGTCTCTACTAAAAAATACAAAAATTAGCTGGGCGTGGTGGCGGGCACCTGTAGTCCCAGCTACTCCGGAGGCTGAGGCAGGAGAACGGCTTGAACCCAGGAGGGAGAGGTTGCAGTGAGCTGAGATTGCACTATTGCACTCCAGCACGGGTGACAGAGCGAGAGTCCATCTCAAAAAAAAGAAAAAAAAAGTCAGATTTGGCATATAACCATCTGTATCAACCTCTTTTTCTCCCCCTCCCTCCTTTATCATCGTTAAAAAACACACAAGAAAATTTGTCTTCACGTTGTCTTTTCAATGCTCGAATCTTCAGTAACACCGTGAAAAGCACAACAGTTCTTAAATTCACTAAACCAGTTACTACTTGCACTAAATGAAAACTAAATGCAGAATGTTCAAATATTTTTAAGTCTTCATGTGTTCTGAAGCCTTTTTCTTCATTATGAGACGCGTACTCCTGAGAACTTAGAAATGTTAATGCATAAAGAAAGATCTTTGATGAACCACCAGGACTTTCATGATACATTAATATCATTCTCCCACTATATGCATATGAGTAAATTTGTGTTACAGAAACATATATAATAGCAAAAGAGATTACATTTTGATTCAGCAGACTTCAAAAGTGCTCCTCTGGTGATTCTGGTGCATGCCCAAAGAATTAATATTACAAATAAATATTTTCCACTGACTTCCTTTCTAAATATTAAATATTTAATAAGAAACCAAATCCTCAAGTGCCTACTTATGTAACAGGAATAGGGTGCTGGATCAAAACACACAAGATATCTGCCTTCATGAAGCTTACAATCTTGGGTTGAAACAGCCAGATACCAATCCTGAAGAAAAAGAATTAGATTCTTACCTCATATCTTACATCAAAAAAAGCCAAGTAATAGCAAACATTTATAAGAGGCTTATTAGCAAATCACAAAAAGCCTCAAGTTAAAAAAAAAAGATTCACATTATCTTGGGTTCAGGAAAGCCAAAAGCAAAAGATATAAAAGACATTAGTTTTTAAAAAAGAAAAATTGATGGATAAAATAAAAAACAATCTTCTGCTGGGCACGATGGCTCACACCTGTAATCCCAGCATTTTGGGAGGCCGAGGCAGGCAGATCACTTGAGGTGAGGAGTTCAAGACCAGCCTGGCCAACATGGTAAAACCCATCTCTACTAAAAATACAAAAATCAGCCAGGTGTGGTGGTACAAGCCTGTAATCCCAGCTACTCGGGAGGCTGAGGCAGGAGAATGGCTTGAACCCGGGAGGCGGAGGTTGCGGTGAGCAGAGATGGCACCACTGCACTCCAACCTGGGTGACAGAGGAAGACTCCGTCTCAAAAAAAAAAAAAACTACACATGCAAAAACACAATCTTCTGCTTATCAAAACAGTAATAACAAATTAAAAAGGCAAATGATTAAATAGGGAAACCATTTGCAAAACATGCACTCTAACAACTCAATATAAAATAAACCAACAGAATAATGGGCAACATATATGAAAAAACAATTTACAAAACAGGAAAAATAACCAATAAACAAATAAAAAAAGTTACATTTTACTAACAAATAGTAAGTTAAAAACAATCATTCATCAAATTAACAATCTTTTTGTTAAACGATAAACGTGGTGTCAGCAAGGATACAGAAGGAGTGGGTACCTTTATTTATTTTTATTTATTTTTTTTATTTTTTGAGACAAAGTCTCACTCTTGTCACCCAGGCTGGAGTGCAATGGTGCAATCTGAGCTCACTGCAACCTCTGCCTCCCGGGTTCAAATGATTCTCTTGCCTCAGCCTCCTGAGTAGCTGGGATTACAGGCTTGTACCACCACACCTGGCTGATTTTTGTATTTTTAGTAGAGATGGGTTTTACCATGTTGGCCAGGCTGGTCTTGAACTCCTCACCTCTGGTGATCTGCCTGCCTCAGCCTCCCAAAGTGCTAGAATTACAGGTGTGAACCACTGCGCCCGGTCAAGAAGTGGGTACCTTTATACACTGTTGCCAGGAGTTAAGAACTGGCCCTAGTCTTTTGCAGGACAATCTGGAAATACCCACTGAACCTTAAAAATCAACCTGGTCTGTAATTAATTATACTAAAAGAAATCTACCTTAAGGAAATAAGTAAGAATGCATACAAAAAAAAAACAACCTAAATAATGTATGGGCCAGCTGCAGTGGCTCATGCCTATAATCCCAGCACTTTGGGGGGCCAAGGTGTGCAGATCACCTGAGGTCAGGAGTTCGAAACCAGCCTGGCCAACATGGTGAAACCTCGTCTCCACTAAAAATACAAAAATTATCTGAACTTGGTGGCATGCGCCTGTAGTCCCAGCTACTTGGGAGCCTGAGGCAAGAGAATCGCTGGGAGATATAGGTTGCAGTGAGCCAAGATCGTGCCACTGCACTCCAGCCTGGGCAATAAAAGTGAGACTCTGTCTCAAAAAAAAAAAAACAAAACAAAAACAATGCACGTCACAACACCGTA
This sequence comes from Homo sapiens, assembly GCF_000001405.40. Taxonomy (NCBI): domain Eukaryota; kingdom Metazoa; phylum Chordata; class Mammalia; order Primates; family Hominidae; genus Homo; species Homo sapiens. The sequence goes on from NC_000017.11 coordinate 22,065,983, forward strand.
CTTCTGAACAAACAGGCAACCTAAATGTATGACAATTGATTAAATAAATATTTAATCAGTGAACTTTATTTATTCATATGTGGAATACTAAGTAGCCACTAACAATACAGTTGTAAACTTATTGGCACGAAAAGAAGCTAAGCACATATTTAAGCAAAAGTAAAGTTAAACAGAATGTACAAAGTGAGCACATTAAAATACTTGTACGGGCTGACTCTGGACATGCTGCCTATGGGTTAGCCCTGTTCCACAAGGAGCAGCAGCAAAAAAAAAAAAAAAAGAAAGAAAAAAGAACCTACAAAATAAAATAAAATAAAAATTAAAATAATACACACACAAATAGGGAAGACTCAACATGAAAATGTTAATAAATTTTAACTGGTAAAACTGTAGGTAATTTTTTCTTTCAAGCTTATTTAATTCTTCTATAAATGATATACCTAGGCTTAACATCTAAAAAAAAAATCTAACAAATGTTAGTTCTTTTTAAATCCTTACTTCTGGAGGTGGGCAGTTGGGAGAGAATGGGGAGAGGGAGATGGAAAGAGAAGTATTAGTTAGTAGTAGTAGTCATGGTTTACACTTTAGAGGAGAAAAAGCAGGACTAGAGTCAGGGGTCCTAGGTTAATTCCAACTCAGGAGGTACTACCTAGGTCACTTAATTCTTCTGAACATCCAGTTTCTCAACTATAACATGGAAATGGGTCACACTACAACACAACACACTCACTTTAATGAATGAGTTTTTAAGACACTTTTCTGCTAAAAAACGAAATTCTATAAATTACATTTGTGGTAATGTATTCAGCGATGGAAGATGACCTTTATTCATTATATTTTTAAATTTCTTTTTTTTAATGCAGCAGAACATTTCTTATAAACCCCACAGACTACTGTATGATAAAGATATTTCACATGATAAGGTGGGTCACAAAACACCTAGAAGCTTAGCTAATTTCCAGCTTACGGCAAACAATTTTTCCCCATCCAACTTACTATTTTGAAAAATTTCAAATTCACTTAAAAGTTGAAGGAACAGTGTAATGGACAATCATTTATCCTTCATCTGAATTCACCAGTAGTTAACATTTTAACATATTTGCTTTCTGTGTGTGTCTGTGTATGTGTATAAAACTTCATTTTGGCTGAACTATTTGAAAATAAATTGTAGATACATTTATTATCTTTTAAATTACTCTTCATTGCATGAAAACTCAAAGAAAATATGTGGGTACTTATTTATCTGATATCAGGGAAGAAAGGGCAATTAGGCATAAAGGTTAATAAACATTACAGAAAAAAGATTTGATGGCAGTAAAAACATTTTAAACTTCAGTATGCTTTAAAAAAAAAAGAAAAATTGAAACAAAAAGACACTGGGAAAAATATTAGAATATGTTAGGCAGGCAGATTGCTTGAGGCCAGGAGTTCGAGACCAGCCTGGCCAACATAGTGAAAACTTGGCCCTACTAAAAATACAAAAAAATTAGCTGGGGCCGGGCACAGTGGCTCACGCCTGTAATCCCAGCACTTTGGGAGGCTGAGGCAGATGGATCACCTGAGGTCAGGAGTTCGAGACCAGCCTGACCAACATGGAGAAACCCCATCTCTACTAAAAATACAAAATGAGCCGGGCATGGTGGCACGTGCCTGTAATCCCAGCTACTCGGGAGGCTGAGGCAGTAGAATCTCTTGAACCCAGGAGATGGAGGTTGCAGTGAGCCGAGATCGCACCACTGCACTCCAGCCTGGATGACAAAGCAAGACTCCATCTCAAAGAAAAGTACCAATCCTACACAAACCCCTTAAGAAAACAGGAGTAAAGAGCACTCCCCAAGCTAACATCATTCTTAATGCAGAAAGACTGAAACTCAATGCTTACCACACCACATATAAAATTTTAATTCAAAATAGGTAATTTACCTAAATGAAAGACCTATAATTATAAAACTTAGAGAGGAAAACATAAGTGAAAATTGGTCAGGCGCGATGGCTCACACTTGTAATCCCAGCACTTTGGGAGGCCGAAGCGGGTGGATCACGAGGTCAGGAGATTGAGGCTAGCAGGGTGAAACCTCATCTCTACTAAAGATACAAAAAAAATTAGCTGGGCGTGGTGGTGCCTGTAGTCCCAGCTACTCGGGAGGCTGAGGCAGGAGAATGGTGTGAACCCGGGGGGCAGAGCTTGCAGTGAGCCGAGATTGCACCACTACACTCCAGCCTGGGCAATAGAGTAAGACTTCACCTCAAAAAAAAAAAAAAGCAAAACAAAACAAAAATAGAAAAAAAGAAAACGTAAGTGAAAATCTTAGTGACCTTGAATTTCGCAAAAACGTCTTAGATTTGACACAAAAAGCACAAAAAATGAACAATAAAAATAAGACATCGGGGCTGGGTGCAGTGGCTAACACCTGTAATCCCAGCATTTTGGAAGGCCAAGGAGGGTGGATCACCTGAGGTCAGGAGTTCGAGACCAGCCTGGCCAACATGGTGAAACTCCATCTCTACTGAAAATACAAAAATTACCTGGGCGTGGTGGCACATGCCTATAATTCCAGCTACTCAGGAGGCTGAGGCAGGAGAATTGCTTGAACCTGGGAGGCAGAGGTTGCAGTGAGCTGAGATGGCACCATAGCACTCCAGCCTAGGCGACAGAGCAAGACTCTGTCTCAAAAAAAAAAAGTACATCGGACTTCATAAAAATAAAAAATGTACGCTCCCCAAAGGATACTGTTAAGAAAATTAGGCAATACTTCTTTTAATAATCTAGATACAACAGATATATAGATCTATGTTTTCTAAGTAATTTTACCTATAATAATCAAAAACTGGAATAGGTGACTGGATAAACAAATTGTGGTATACCCATCTCAACAATAAAAAGGAATGAACTGAGACATGCCACACATGGATAGATCACAGAAGTATTATGGGAAGCAAAAGAGGTCACAGGCAAAAGAGTTCCCATGAAGCTCAGAACGTATACAATGTTTGATGATAGATAGCAGATCAGTGGTTTCCTAGGAGCTGAGGTTAGTAGGAAGTGGGAGAGGAGGACTGACACGGGTGGGTGCCAAGGAACGTGCTGGAGTGTTAGAAATGTTGTTCATCTTCATTTTGGTGATGGTTCTATGAGTTTATGACTTTGTCAAAATTTGTTACAATGTACACATATAATGAGTGCATTCTAATATAGATATATGTGTATATATATAAACTAACTTCAAAGTTAATTTTGTTTTTTTTAAGACACGGTTTCACTCTTGTTGCCCAGGCTGGAGTCCACCGGCACGATTTTGGCTCACTGCAACCTCTGCCTCCTGGGTTCAAGCGATTCTCCAGCCTCAGCCTCCCAAGTAGCTGGGATTACAGGTGCCTGGCTAATTTTTTCATATTTTTAGTAGAGATGGGGTTTCACCATGTTAGCCAGGCTGGTCTCAAACTCCTGACCTCAAGTGATCCACCCGCCTCAGCCTCCCAAAGTGCTGGGATTACAGGCGTGAGCCACTGCGCCCGGCCTGATTTTATGAAAAAAACACCAGCAACAATAATCCGGAAAATTGGTAATCAGATGAATAACACTGGTGTAGGAGGGGGACAACACAAGCAAAATTCAACATCCAATCATGACAGAAATTCTCAAACTAGGAACAGAAAGCAACCTCTTCAACCAAAAAAAGAATCAACAAAAACGTGCAACTAACATTACACGTAATGGTAAAAGACTAAATGCCTCCCTACACAGGAACAACGTTAAGAATGCCCATTCTAACTCTGTAATCATGACTACACTTCAAAGGAGTCCTCAGTAGGACCCCGTAGTACATTCTGATGACAAATCTGCTTTCTGAGTCTCTGAGATGACCGTTTTATCCCATCCTTTCCTATTTTTCTTTAAACCTCTTACACCCATATCCTTGGTCTACCCTGAGATGATTATTTCACCTCATACTTTATTTTTCACAAGGTAAATCAATCTCTTACAAACTCTTCCTATGATAAAGTCTTCCTTCCTATCTACCATCCCTTCCTTCCTTCCTACCTACTATACAAATCTTCGTACCATCAATCTCTCAAGAAGACAGAGGTCTTTATCCTGGCCATCACTCAAGACATGCCAAGTTATCTGGCCAGCTTAAAACTCAACCACAACTTGAGAGTATAAATATAGGTCTTACCCTAGAAATTCTAGAGAATTGATAAGTTTTCTATTTATCATCAACTCCTGTCATCAAAAGCAAAGACAAGTTCAACTCCTGAAATTGGCATAAAGCCACAGTAAGAAGACAGAAGTAATTAATTCCCAACCTTTGGTTCCTCGTCTTTGTAAATAGCTCTTGCCACTTAAAAAAAAAGGTAAATTTGGTGGTTTCTACCAACATGTGTATTAAATAGGAAAAGCAAAGAAAAACACAAAAAACACGTGCAATTTGCATAGTATTTGTTCCTTACCTGCTGGTGGCAGGTGCTGGGAAACGTATACTTTACAGAGTGAGGAGGATAATGACTTTGTTCTGTGCTGAATGCTCCTTGGTTGGGAGGGTAACATGAACTTGACATTATCAGTAAAGAAGTCCTCACCAGACTGTGAGATCAATGCCAATAAACAATCATGTTTCTAGGAAACCACCTAAACAGGATGGGAAAAAAATAGAATTAATAAGAACTAAAACACCAAGTGTACTTCTAATAAATTATAACTATAGCTACATATATAAAACCACAATTACCAGTAAAAGCTTCCTCTCAAGTATTTACTTAATAAAAGTTACCAAGGTTTGAAAACATTAATGCGTCATTTCTTTTTATATTTAAAATAGGTTAATATGTGACAAATAATATAATTAGCTATATAAAGTAAAAACAGTATATAAAAACAGCATAATATCTGGCACATAGTAACTGCTCAGTAAATAACTTTCTATAAATGTCTGAGGAATATAAAGACAAAAATACATGGTTTTAAATTTTGGAGTTGATAAGTCAATCATGAAAATAATTCAAGAGTAGTTTTAAGGTAAGCATTTGTGCAGAGGAAGTATTGTCTTTATTAAATAATTCTGAAGCAAGGATGGTAAAATACTAAGTTTTGTAATCACAGATGGTAGGTAGATGGACATTTGTTATGTTACTCTTTGCATGCTTCTATGGAACTGAAATAGCAAATAAAGAAAAAGAAGGCCAGAAGTAGTGGCTCCTCCTGTAATCCCAGCACTCTGGGAGGCTGAGGTGGGCAGATCACTTGAGGTCAGGAGTTCGAGACCAGCCTGGCCAACATGGTGAAACTTCTTTTCTACTAAAAATACAAAAATTAGCCGGGCATGGTGACATGCGCCTGTAATCCCAGCTACTTGGGAGGCTGAGGCAGGAGAATAGCTTGAGCCTGGGAGGCAGAGGTTGCAGTGAGCCGAGATCACGCCATTGCACACCAACCAGGGCAACAGAGTGAGACTCCATCTCAAAAAAAAAAAAAAAGAAAAACAAAGCCATCTTCATTATAAAGTATATTCCTACTTGTCCACAATTCTAGACTAATTTGGTTTGTCTGTCTTTTCTTGTGCCAATGCCACACTTTTCAAATTACTCTAGTATTATGAGGTTTCATATCCAGCAGGGCAAGTTTCACCTCACTGTGCTTTGTTGTTGCTGCTACTTTCACCACCTTCCCAGCTATTCTAGCACATTTCCTCTTACACACAAGCATCACAGTCAGCTTGTCAGGTCCCAGAGAAATTCTGGATGAGAACACATAAATATTGAATTCACAGACTGACTAATGGGAGAACAGGTACCCTTGTACTCCTGAGTATTCCCATCCTAAAACATGATTATCTATGTTTATGTTTCAGGATAACACAAATATTTATGTTATACATAATATGGGAGTATTTTACATACATATGGTAGAGAATATTACATATGTATAAAAATGTGTGCCATAATATATAATTTCTATCTTAATTATGTATAAAACTCCCATGACAAAAATTTTATATACACATATGCACATGTGCATGTATGTACATACACTCTTACTTTAAGACTGGAGTTCTATTATTACCTAATTGGGTGGTTTTAAAAAAATAGAATTTAAATATAAGATGAAAATTATATAATTGTATACATAAAAATATAACAGATGTAATTTTATATATATAAAATCTCCACCCATTTAATACTTTATTATGAAAGTTTTAATTTTCTTTCCATCATTTCAATGTATTTGGGAAGAGGGCAAATTCAAAAAATAATTCAGTATGACAAATTGATCAATTTCCCAGTTTTTATCAGTATATTTTTTATCAAGTTAGGTTTAGAAAATAAAATTTTCTAGGGAATTGTCATTCAATCTAACTTTAAAACAAAACTTATAGGCTGGCCACAGTGGCTCACATCTGTAATCCCAGCACTTTGGGAAGTCAAGATCGGAGGATCTCTTAAGGCCAGGTGTTCAAGGTCAGCCTGGGCAATGAAGCCAGACCTATCTCTACAAGAAAATTAAAATAATAATAATAATAATTAGTTAGGCGGCCAGGTGTGGTGGCTCATGCCTATAATCCCAGCACTTTGGGAGGCCGAGGCGGGCGGATCGCGAGGTCAGGAGATCAAGACCATCCTGGCTAACACGCTGAAACCCCGTCTCTATTAAAAATACAAAAAAGTAGCTGGGCGTGATGGTGGGTGCCTGTAGTCCCAGCTACTCGGGAGACTGAGGCAGGAGAATGGCGTGAACCTGGGAGTTGGAGCTTCCAGTGAGCCGAGATCGGGCCACTGCACTCCAGCTTGGGCGACAGAGCAAGCCTCTGTCTCAAAAAAAAAAAAAAAAAGAAAAAAATAATTAGGCATGGCGGTACACACCCATGGTCCCAGCTACCTGGGAGGCTGAGGCAGGAGGATCACTTGAGCCCAGGAGGTCAAGACTGCAGTGAGCCATGATTGTGCCACTGCACTCCAGCCTGGGTGATACAATGAAACTCTGACTCAAAAAATAAAAGAAAAAACGTATAGAAAGAACTTTAAGGCCAGGTGTGGTGGCTCATGCACTTTAGGAGGCCAACGTGGGCAGATCACGAAGTCAGGAGTTCAAGGCCAGCCTGGCCAACATGGTGAAATCCAGTCTCTACTAAAGATACAAAAAATTAGCCAGGCATGGTGGCACATGCCTGTAAACCCAGCTACTCAGGAGACTGAGGCAAGAGAATCACTTGAAGCTGGGAGGCGGAGGTTGCAGTGAGCTGAGATGGTGCCACTGCACTCCAGCCTGGGTGAGGGGTCCAGACTCCAGCTCAAAAAAAAAAAAAAAAAAAAAAAAGAACGAACTTTAAAAACTGCATGTGGTACCATGTAATATATAAATATTTTAAATAAATATATCATCCTTTCTCCTGATGTCACGTTTCCTGCTGTTGTGAAAGCTGACCAGGAGAAGAGTCAGAAGACTGACCAGCTGTCCCTCAGTCTGTTTTCTCCTTGCTCCCTTCCAAGGCCCAAGGCATGGAGGTCAGCAAATCTTAAGGATTGGAAGGTTGAGATTACCCAACTAACACTGATTTGACAGGTGAGAAACGTGAAGATCAGAGAAAGTCAATAATTCCTCCAGTATCACAAAATTGTCTGTGGCAAAATGGGAAAAACTAATGTTTTCTGCAATGCTTTGTGGCTTTCTCAGCAAGTAGTGAACTAGGAGGAGCTGAGATGTTCCGTGAGACCAGACATTAAAACCACCTGAGGAGCTTTCTCCTCATCTATACATCTGCAACTGCTCCAGGTGGAAAGGGAAAAGCCAACATGTGGCATTGTGGGGAGGGTTGATTTTTTTAGAAATAAACATTATATGCAGGACTTAAGAGTTTTTAAAAGTACCACAGAATACAAAGTGAAAAATCTCCTCGCCCTTCTCCTCCAGCTGCTACCCAGTTACCCTCCCAGAAGGCAACCAAAGTTACTAGTTTCTAGAGTGTCCTTTAGAAATATCCTACACATACATACACTCAAACTTTTTCCCCTATGTAAATGGTGGCATACTAGAAACACACTGTTCTGTATCTTGCTTTTATTACTTAATACATCTTGGTTGGCCTGGCGCGGTGGCTCACACCTGTAATCCCAGCACTTTGGGAGGCTGAGGCGGGTGGATCATGAGGTCAGGAGATCAAGATCATCCTGGCTAACACAGTGAAACCCCGTCTCTATTAAAAATACAAAAAAGTTAGCCAGGCATGGTGGCGGGTGCCTGTAGTCCCAGCTACTCAGGAGGCTGAGGTGGGGAGAATGGCATGAACCCAGGAGGCAGAGCTTGCAGTGAGCCGAGATCACATCACCAACCTCCAGCCTGGGCGACAGAGGGAGGCTCCGTCCCCCCAACAACAAAAAAATACATCTTGGCAATTATTCTCATGCAACTTTGGTTCTTTCTATTGCTAAAGAGTATTTCACTATATGGGCCAGGCGTGGTGGCTCACGCCTGTAATCCCAGCACTTTGGGAGGTTAAGGCAGGTGGATCACCTGAGGTCGAGAGTTCGAGACCAGCCTGACCAACAAGCTGAAACCCCGTCTCTATTGAAAATACAAAAATTAGCCAGGCATGGTGGCACATGCCTGTAATCCCAGCTACTCGAGAGGCTGAGGAAGGATAATTGCTTGAACCCGGGAGGCAAAGGTTGCGGTGAGCCGAAATCATGCCATTGCACTCCAGCCTGGGCAACAAGAATGAAACTCTGTCCAAAAACAAGAGTATTTCACTATATGAACGTTCATGCATTTTGTAAAAGTTTTCCAACTAATTCTGATCTGCTGTCCTAAAACATGCTTTAAGTGATCTATCTCTGTGCTCTCCTCCCAACTCAGACATCCCAAATAAATAAAGCTATAAATGGAATGCAGAGGCAAAAAAAAAAAAAAAAAGAAAAGATTTTAACCCAGGGTCATCCCATTTTTTTCTAACAGTGGCCTAAATGATTAGAAACCCATGAGGTACAATTTTTTAATGCACATTGTTTAACTTTCAGCTATGGTGAGTCTTGAGTTCAACAATTACACTCAATGTCACTCAAAGTCACAAGTTAAGTGACTTCTCCATTTTTTCCCTCATCTCAGTAATCCTTCCTGTTGTCCTAGTTTTGTGGTATGACTTTAATGAAGTTTAACTTTATTATCTCAAAAAAAAAAACAAAAAAGTCAGTTTTATTTAAAAGTACTATTCGCCCAATACAGAAGGGGAAAAAAAAAAAAAAAACACTAGCAAATTCAGGAAATTAGCCCCTACTGGCATACAAATTTACAGGTCAAAGCAAGCCCTTCCTTTCCTCACATGAACTGCAGCCTGGAGACCACTACAACCTCCTTCCTCAAAACTTATCCACGAGATACAGGGCAACAGTGCTCAGATCTTGTTTTTTAACCAGAAGGTTTTCCTCAAAAGTCTTAAATGAAAGCTAAATGTACAAAAGGTACAATGGAGAAACATTCTGATCTAGTGAGAATGGGAGACCTAGGATTCATCTTTTCAGTCTCCCCCTGCCCTTCCCCATCCCTCCCTCCACCCTTCACTTCAGTCCTGGCTCACTAAGATACCTCGGCAGAATACTTTACATTTGAAACCCACTGAAATGAAAGAATCTAAAGTTCAGACTGAAGGGGAAGGGAGCACCTTAAGTGGCAGTATCAAATTATAATTTCAGTTCTTAGCACCAAAACTCATTAACTCAGGGTAGTTACATGGTTGACTCATGAACCAAAAAAATTCTATGAATTGTTTAAGAAATATGATCAAGATTTTATAAGCAACTTCCTCATCTCTTAAATATCAACATATAATGTTTTAGGATGAGAATAATATAGTAATAATTATGTCACTGTCATAAAAGACAATAGCACTTCTAACTGAATTATACAGATAAACCCAGAACTAGCCTCTTACATATTGCAAACAGGTAATACCATATTGCAAAATGAAATTGATCTATTTAAGTTCCTTTTTAAATCTTCTCATATTAAATAAACACACACATATTTACTCAACAGGAAAATCTTGCAACAACAGAATTTCAAATACTATCCTGCCAAAAAACAAGCAATTTTTCCTCTCAGCAGGAACTCCTGGCTTTTGGCCCACAACCTTTGCATAAACAAAATGTGTTATGCAAAGGTGTTCAAGGTGGCCTAAGCCATCTTGGAAAAAAAGCTAAAAATGGCCGGGCACAGTGGCTCACGCCTGTTATCCCAGCACTTTGGGAGGCCAAGGCCGGCAGATCACAAGGTCAGGAAATCAAGACCATCCTGGCCAACATGGTGAAACTCCATCTCTACTAAAATACAAAAAAAAATTAGCCGGACATGGTGGTGCACACCTGTAGTCCCAGCTACTCGGGAGACTGAGGCAGGGGAATCGCTTGAATCCAGGAAGCAGAGGTTGTAGTGAGCTGGCATCGTGCCACCGCACTCCAGCTTGACAACAGAGCGAGACTCCATCTCAAAAAAAAAAAAAAAGCTAAAAATATACTTCACTGTGGCAGGACCGCAGATGCCACTTCAGATGAGCAAGAATGAATCCACCAAGCGTCACAATAGAGGTGAAGCCTACATTTCACCAAAGCAGAAAAAGGATCCTACAAAACATGCAATTTTTAACTGATAAAATAATAAAACCTCCTGATACAAAAGTATGTGATAGGGCAATGCCTCTATGACATTCAAATGCTAAAATATTAGTTATTAAACTGAAGCAAATTAGGTCACACCAGTTCCCACAAAGCTGTCCAGCTCTAGACCAATTTTAAAAGTATGTTAGGCAAGACAAGGCTAAGAAGGACCACCACCCTGGGCATCCCGACACCTAAAATCCTCCAACCTGGGGATAATTTAAAGAAAGCTGACCTCCTAAACTTATTACAGAGTCCAGCATCCAGGAGAGGAAAGACTAGAAATTATCTAAGTGAATTCTGTAATTTGTACAAGACCAGAGTGGTGCTATACTGGAATAAATTTTCTCCTGTAAAATAAACTAAAGCATTCTTCCCTTTGAGGGGAAAAAAAGCTACTGCTTCTCAGACTTTTGGTTAAGATCTAACCTGGGGGAATGCCATTGACAAGGTATTTTATTTGCAGCCTCTTCTGACATCATGACATCTTACTTAAAGACAGAGAAACAAATGGAAGCTAAAGAAAAAGCTTTTTAGTTAACCTATCCTACCTCTTATAAAGTATGATATTGAAAGAAAAATTTTAATAAGGATACAATTATTTGATAAATCTATGGGTACACATATTCAATAAGTAATTCTGGCCAGGCACAGTGGCTTATGCCTGTAATCCCAACACTTTGGGAGGCCGAGGCAAGTGGATCACTAGAAGCCAGGAGTTTGAGACCAGCCTGGCCAAAAAGGCGAAACCCCTTCTACGCTAAAAATACAAAAACTAACCGGGCGTGGTGGCACATGTCTGTAATCCCAGCTACTCAGGAGACTGAGCATGAGAATCACTTGAACTCAGGAGGTAGAGGTTGCAGTGAGACAAGATCGTGCCACTGCACTCCAGCCTGAGCAACAGAACAAGACTCTATTTCAAAAAATAATAAATACATAATTCTTAAATGAAAGAAAAATGATGCTACTTTACCTCTACATAAAGTGCTGTCCCAAGACAGGAGTACAATGTAACAATATCCAACTGAGAACTCTGTGTTATGTCGGCACTACACTGAACTAATTCTCTGAACTGAACAACACTCACTCACTCAACTTACAAGAACAAATATATTTCAAAACCAGCCAAGCACAGTGGCTCACGTCTCTAATCCCAGCACTTTGGGAAGCAGAAGAAGGTGGATCACTTGAGGTCAGGAGTTCAAGACCAGTCTGGCCAACCTGGTGAAACCTTGTCTCTACTAAAAATACAAAAAATATGGCTGGGCATGGTGGCTCACACCTGTCATCCCAGCACTTTGGGAGGCTGAGGCGGGAGGATCACGAGGTCAAGAGTTCAAGACCAGCCTGACCAACATGTGAAACCCCATCTCTACTAAAAATACAAAAATTAGCCGGGCATAGTGGCGTGCGCCTGTAATCCCAGCTACTTGGGAGGCTGGGGCAGGAGATTCACTTGGACCTGGGAGGCAGAGGTTGCAGTGAGCAGAGATCACACCACTGCATTCCAGCCTGGGTGACAGGGTGAGACTCCATCTCAAAAAAAAAAAAAATACAAAAAATTAGCCAGGCGTGGTGGTGCACACCTGTAATCCCACTACTCAGGAAGCTGAGGCATGAGAATCACTTGAACCTGGGAGGCAGAGGTTGCAGTGATCCGAAATCGCACCCCTGCACTCCAGGCTGACCAACAGAGCAAGACTTCATCTCAAAACAAACAAACAAAACAAGAACAAATAAATTTCACAAGCAAAATGGATGACTACATGCCAATTCCCTCCTTGATTAACACAAAAGAAGAACAAAGAAATTAAGATAAGAAAAATTTTAATGTAGATATTTGGCCTGAATTAATAGATATAACAATATCTAAGTGGATAGTACTAAAAGAGTTACCATTTATTGAGCTCTAGATATATACTAGGCAGTGTGCTAAGACTTGGTGTGTGCATGAGCTCACCTAAAAGTCTGGTTCCACTATTAGCTCTAAGGCTGTAGGGAAGCTGCATAACCTCCTCAAGCTATGTTTTTCTAACTCAGAGACAGATACCTTAAAGATCATCTGCTGCTGCCTCCCCTTTGACCCACTAACAGAGACTACAGGTTATTAAGCAATATAAATCAAGGGTTATGAACAGACTCTGCTTTTTGCTGCACCCCCCTCAACACCCCCGAGCTCCACAAATCTTAAAGTCAAATGCTCTTAGCCTACTTTATTTTGGTACACACCTTAGAAACAAACAGAACTATCAAACGCCTGCGAAGGCAAATATCAGCTCTGTTCTGCTCTACACGGCCTCTGCAGCAGCTAGCAGTACTTAGCTCTCAGTAGCACCCACTCCAACAGCAAGTTGTTTGGCTGTTCCTTACACACACACACACACACACACACACACACACACGCACAGACTCTGAAGCTTCCCAGGCCTCTCCATCTAACTACCACCCTCCTTACCTCTTGCTGCAAAAACTCCTAACTGGGCTTCCCACTTCAATACTTTCTCAACTCAAAAAGCCAAGTGTTCTTTTTAAACCTTAAATCGGAACATGTCACTCTCCTGCTTCAGATTCCCCAAGGATTTCCTACGCACTGCAAATAAAGTCTCAACTACTTACGATGACCCAAGGCCCTACTTGATTTGGCCTGCTTACTTTCTAGATTGCTCACTAGGCCCCAGCAACATGAGTTTCCTTTCAGTTTCTTTAGGAGCCCTTCTCTGCCAGGTCCTTCCTAGCTGGGCCTTCGTCCTTCTTTACTCTCTGCCAGGAACGCTGTTCCTGGCTCATTCAGGTGGCTAGCTCCTCCTCAAACTTAAGGTCTCAGTTCAAATGTCATCTCAGAAGAGTCTTTCCAACCATCCTACATATAAGGTAAGTTCCCACGAGTTACTCTCAATCACATCACCCTTTTGGTTCCTTTACAGGTCTATCATAATCTGAAATGGATTACGTACTTCATTTTATTTGAGTATATTCTGTCTTCTCTCACTAGAATAAAAACTACCTGTTTGATTCTCTATAATATTTGTTGAATAAAATAAACAAACTCCCATTCATGGGTCTGATATTTTTTAAAATAAATAAACAAGAAATATACAAGACTTATTTGTACAGGACTTATTTGAAGCAAAGTTTGAAAATCTACTGAGAGACATAAAAATCTATTAGAACACAGGACAGTAAGTACATAAAGATGTCAATTTCCCCAAACTTCACCTACAATTTCAGTATTCCCAATCAATATTCAGTATGTAATAAAAATCTCTATGATTTCTTTTTGAATGTCACAGAATGATTCTAAAGTTCATCTAGAAGAACACATAGACCAGAAATGTCAAAGTCTGAAAAAAAAGAGTAATGAACAGGTAACTAACCCCATCTGTATTAAAATTATAAAATGATAGTAATTTAAAGTGTATGGTAATACACAAGAGACCAAAATAACAAGACCAATCAGAAATAGTCCCAAACACATTTAGTAAATGACAAAAGCTGCAATTCTAATAGTGGGGCAAAAAACAGATTATTCACTAAATGGTGCTGACACAACTAGCTAGTTGGGGTAGAATTCACACACAATTTTATCCCCCAAAATATGTCTCACTTCTTATACCAGAAGTAAATTCCAGATGGATCAAAGAATTAGAAGTTTTAAAAAGAGAAGGAAAAGGAAAAAAAGAAACCATTGAAGTATTAAATACAATCTGGGGACTTCTTTGTTTTAAAAATACAAAAACGCATGCAGTTAAAAAGTCTTCCTCTCACTCATTCTTCTTACTATGACAACCAATGTTTCCAAGTATCATATATCCTGTGATATACAAGCAAAAATGTATACGTTGTTTTTCATCTTTAAAGCAAAGACACATAGAGGCATATAATGTTCCTCACTTTGTTTTTCTAGTTTAGTAGATAGGCGAATATTTTATGTTTTGGAGCAAGGAAAGTCTTAAGTAGAGCACAAAACACAAAAGTCACATAAATAAATTAACAAGAGTCACAGCTAACATTTATTATTTACTTACTTTGTGCCATCCACTATGCCTAATGCTATTTACATTATCTCCATTTTACAAACAAGGAAATGAAGGTGTACAGAGGTTAAATAATGTGCCCACGTTCCCACAGCAGCACAGTGCTGGGTTTGGATTTATCTGACTACATAACATTACAAAAGAATAGCTAGGGGGATATGTGCACACGTATGAAAAAAGTGAATAAAGCCAGGCACGTTGGCTCACGCCTGTAATCCCAACAACACTTTGGGAGGCCTAGGCAGGCAGATCACCTGAAGTCGGGAGTTTCAGACCAGCCTGACCAACATGGAGAAACCCCACGTCTAGTAAAAAAACAAAATTAGCCAGGCATGGTGGCGCAGGCCTGTAACCCCAGCTACTCAGGAGGCTGAGGCAGGAGAATCACTTGAACCCGGGAGGCGGAGGTTGAGGTGAGCTGAAATCACGCCATTGCAGTCTAGCCTGGGCAACAAGAGCAAAACTCTGTCTCAAAAAAAAAAAAAAAAGAAAAGAAAAGAAAAAGAAAGAAAAAAAGTGAATATGTAGAGAACTTTTAACCTGTTAAAAACCAGTAGCCCCATCAGAAAATAAACAAAGAGCAAAAGTAGGCAATTTATAAAAGACATATGGCCAAGCGCAGTGACGCACACCTGTAATCCCAGCCTTCAGGAGGCTGAGGTGGGTGGATCACCTGAGGTCAGGAGTACAAGACCAGCCTGACTAACATGGTGAAATCCCATCTCTACTAAATACATAAATTAGCTGGGAGTGGTGGCAGATGCCTGTAATCCCAGCTACTTGGGAGGCTGAGGCAGGAGAATCGCTTGAACATGGGAGGCGGAGTTTGCAGTGAGCCGAGATCCTGCCACTGCACTCCAGCCTGGGTAACAAGAGCGAGTCTCTGTCTTAAAAAAAAAAAAAAAAAAAAAAGGCCAGGTGCGGTGGCTTACGTCTGTAATCCCCAGCACTTTGGGAGGCCAAGGTGGGTAGATCACCTGAGGTTGAGAGTTTGAGACCAGCCTGGCCAATATGGAGAAACCCCATGTCTACTAAAAATATAAAATTAGCCAGGAGTGGTGGTGCATGCCTATAATCCCAGCTACTAGGGAGGATGAGGCAGGAGAATTGCTTGAACCCAGGATTCAGAGGTTGCAGTGAGCTGAGATCAAGCCATTGCACTCTAGCCTGGACAACAAGAGCAACACTCCGTTTCAAAAAAAAAAAAAAAAAAGAAAGAAAGAAAGAAATACAACTCTCTCCATATTAAAAAAAGTTCAGCCTCAATAGTGATTGATAAAACACCAATCAGAATCACATTTTTTCAGTTCCTAAATTGTCAAAATGTTTTAAACTGTAATATCTAGTATTGGCCAGGGTATGGGGCATACCTGAATACTATTGGTAGCTTTACAAATTGGTACAACAACCATTTGGAAGGAAAATGTATAAATATCTATCCATATCTACATTATTCACATCTTTTGATTTGAATTCAAATCAAAAGTGGAGTTGATTTCAGCAACTCCACTTATAGGAATCTATCCTACAAAGCTGTTTGTACAAATACACAAGATACATATACATATGTACATGTGCATAAATATTCATACACACACACACAATTGTTTACAGCTTTGTTTTTCTGGCAGAAAAAAAAATCCAGTGACCATAAGTTGATTAAGCAAATTATGGTATTTTCTTTTTTTTTGTTTGAAACAGAGTCTCACTCTGTCGCCCAGGCTGGAATTCAGTGGCATGGCTCACTGCAATCTCCTCCTCCCAGTTTCAAGTGATTCTCCTGCCTCAGCCTCCCAAGTAGCTGGGATTACAGGCACATGCCACCATGCCTTGCTAATTTTTGTATTTTTAGTAGAAATGGAGTTTCACCATGTTGGCCAGGCTGGTCTTGAACTCCTGACCTCCGGTGATCCAGCCACCTCAGCCTCCCAAAGTACTGGGACAACAGGAGTGAGTCACCGTGCCTGGCAAATTATGGTATTTTCATGTACTAGAAATGAGTTATTAAGTTGCTGTTAATGATTGATAAAGGTAACTCGGAAATAAATAGACAAACTTGGAACAGTAGTATACAAAAGAATAGTATATTATGATTCCATAATATAGAAAACTATACAAACACAGAAAAAAAACTGGAAGAATATGCAACAAACGCAGTAGATTACATCCAGGAAGTGGTTCTTTCAATTTCAGTATATATAAAAAATAATGTATTACTTATAATTAGTGAAAGATAAGATTTTAAAATAGCATATCCTCCTTCATGCATTAAAATGATTTTATGTGAATATAAAGTAACTTCTTTCTCCCCCCTCAACAGGATGTTTATACTCCTACATCAGGTATATTAACGTTCTGCATATTTTAGGTTATAACTCCTAGATAGCATAAGTTTTGATTTCATTCCAAATACCTCCAAATACATAAAAGTTATTCTAATTAAAAATGAATTTAAAAATCTTAAAAGTAATGCAAAGTTAAACATCTTTGAACAGAAACTCAAAGTCATGATGATGACTACTTAAACATTTTCAAAGTTACATAAATCTCTATGTTATTGCCAAGGGAAATGAATTGCCTAAAACAAATTACTCTGAATGCGAACAGTGTATGACAGTGATAATGGCAAGAAGAATGTCTGTCAGTTCAACCAAGAATGGGGTAAAGGGGCAATCTATAAGCATAAAGGTGACTCTCATCATAAATCTGAGTCGAATTTTCCTAGAAAAATGTAACCTTCGCCAGGTGCGGTGGCTCACTCCTGTAATCCCAGCACTTTGGGAGGCCAAGGCAGGCAGATCACGAGGTCAGGAGATCAAGACCATCCTGGCTAACATGGTGAAACCCTGTCTCTACTAAAAATAGAAAAAATTAGCCAGGCATGGTGGCGGGCACCTGTAGTCCCAGCTACTCTGGAGGCTGAGGCAGGAGAATGGCGTGAACCTGGGAGGTGGAGCTTGCAGTGAGCCGAGACCATGCCACTGCACTCCAGCCTGGGTGAGAGCGAGACTCCGTCTCAAAAAAAAAATAAGAAAGGAAAGAAAAATATAACCTCAATATATTTGGTTTTGATATCAGTTTATTCGTGTATAACAAAGAATAAAAACAGCCAAACAGCCCAAATTTTGTTCCTCGAGTACGCTGTAATGGGGGAAAGAAATCCAAATAAGTTGGGAATCTTGACTTTTCCTTTACTCCTGACTAATCTACTTAAGAATTTAATTTTTTATATAAACTAGTCAATATTATTCTTTCAAAGGGAGTCCTAAATTCTATTATAATCAACCAACTGTTCCATATTTCTTTTTTTTTTTTTTTTTTTGAGATGGGAGTCTCACTCTGTCGCCAGGCTGGAGTGCAGTGGCACAATCTTGGTTCACTGCAACCTCTGCCTCCCAGGTTTAAGCGATTCTCCTGCCTCAGCCTCCCGAGTAGCTGGGACTATAGGCGCATGCCACCATGCACAGCTAGTTTTTTTTTTTTTTTTTTTTTGTATTTTTAGTAGAGATGGGGTTTCACCATGTTGCCCAAAATGGTCTCGATCTCTTGACCTCGTGATCCGCCTGCCTCGGCCTCCCAAAGTGCTGGGATTACAGGCATGAGCCACCGTGCCGGCCAATCTTCCCATATTTCTAACTCCCAGTTTTTTCCTAGGATTGAAACTACTCCAAAATTTCCTGCATATATAAATTAAAACATTATTGCATTCTAATATTATCTAGAACCATGAGTGCTGTCTAGGATGAACCAATCCCATATTTACTTTCTCTTCCTCCCCCAAATCCCAATAAACAGAATTTTTTTTTCTTTTTTAAAGAAATGCTTTTAACTGGGCTCAGTGGCCCACACCTATAATCCCAGCACTTCAGGAGGCCAAGGTGGGAGGATCACTTGAGCCCAGCAATTTGAGGTCAGCCTGGGCAACATAATGAGACTCTGTTTCTACAAAATAAAAGAAATTGACCAGGTGTGGTGGCACACACCTGTAGTCCCAGCTACTCAGGAGGACCGTGTGAACCCAGGACTCGGAGGCTGCACTGAACTATGATCACACCACTACTCTCCAGCCTGGGCAACAGAGAGAGACTTTCTCTGTAAAAAGGAAAAAAAAATAAATATTTTGATGATTTACTAATTACAGCTATGTTAGTCACTGCCATTGGTGAAATTTCTACCTGTTTTTTAATTTCCAAAAACTATTCAGCATCAAACTGCCATATGTGTATCAGACATCTTCTACAGCATCCACACTAACTCTAGCTGCAAAGCTCTTTTATGCATTCAACAAGTATCTGCTACTCCCGGGCACAAGGTGTTATTCTGGGAGTGGGAAAAGAGGAAATGAAATTTAAAAACTCAGATACAGACATGCCTACAAAGGGCTTATGGTCTAGAGGCAAAGGATCAAGAGTTTCTAGAAAAATAATATACATTTTGGAGAAGAGGGAACAGGAGAGACATTTCCTGGATGATGTAATATGTGATCAAACCCTTGAAAAATAGGATAAATTTAGATGTAGTAGAGTTTGGAAGATAAGGGAGGAAAGGAGTATTCCAGAAACAAGCATAGTAAGAAGAAAAAACAAACAAAAAATTCTTCTTAATACAACACAAAATAGCCCAAGTAGAATAAAGAAATATGCCATGCTTCAGTATTTATGTAAAGATTATCAGCTTAATAAAAATATACCTTTTCCTTTACAATAAATTTTATAGGCCGGGCATGGTGGCTCATGCCTGTAATCCCAGCACTTTGGGAGGCCATGGTGGGAGGATTACTTGAGCCCAGAATTCAAAACCAGGCTGGGCAAAACAATCAGACCACATCTCTATTTTTAAAAAATTAAAATGAAACAAAATAAATTTTATAGCATGCATACATACAGAAAATATTACAAATGAGCTTTTTGATGTAAAAAAAATTCATAAAGAATACAGTCGGCCAAGTGCGATGGCTCACGCCTGTAATCCCAACACTTTGGGAGACCAAGGCGGGCAGATCACTTGAGGCCAGGAGTTCGAGATCAGCCTGGACAACATGATGAAACTCCGTCTCTAAAAATACAAAAATTAGCCAGGCATGGTGTCATATGCCTGTAATCCCAGCTACTTGGGAGGCTGAGCACGAGAATAGCTTGAACCTGGGAAGTGGAGGTTGCAGTGAGCTGAGATTGTGCCACTGCACTCCAGCTTGGGCAACAGAGCAAGATTCTGTCAAAAAAAAAATTCATGTTTGTGCTATTTATCTAAGCTTTTATATTAATATAACAATTGAAATCCTTCATACTTAAAAAAAAATCCAGAAGTAGGCAAAACAAACAACAGCTAATTTATAAAATAATTTAACCTATTTGTAGGCCAGGTGCAGTGGCCCATGCCTGTAATCCCAGCACTCTGGGAGGCCGAGGCAGGAGGATCACCTGAGGTCAGGAGTTCGAGACCAGCCTGACC
The DNA here is from genome assembly GCF_000001405.40 of Homo sapiens. Taxonomy (NCBI): domain Eukaryota; kingdom Metazoa; phylum Chordata; class Mammalia; order Primates; family Hominidae; genus Homo; species Homo sapiens. Next base: position 22,086,112 of record NC_000017.11, read on the forward strand.
AATACAGAGAAACGCTGTTTCTACTAAAAAATGATTTTAACACTGTCTTCATTTCCCAAAGATTACTGAAGTCACATGAAATAAAAGGCATTAGAGATTCTATTTTTCTGACAAAATATTTAAGAGCCTTCCTTTTCTTCTAAGCCAAGTAATTAGGGCTCCTTTATATATACATCATATACACAACACTTCTAGACAGGAAAAGATCTAGCAGTGGTAAGTTTTTCTTTCTCATTTTATGAACCCTAACACAAATTCCACAGACCATCTATGACATGAACTTTCTGACTTTTCCTGTATTTCCCTCTTTCATAATTAGTCATTCTACTTTAGGACAAAAATTTGCCATACAAGATCCTCTCTCATATAACATTTCTTTCCATCATAACTTTTCTTACCATCCATAAATACATCTTCATATCCACAACTTTCTTTAGATCTCTCTCCCCGACTGATTTCTGATGCCCACCCAAACCTAAAAGGTCAGATAACGCAAAACAAAACAGAGGAGAGCCTTAGATTTTGAGAGAGACCTGTCTGCCTGAAGTTGTTGGGGTTCCATGAGGACAACAGAGGTTTCTCCTAAGATGGGTTTTGTAGCACCTTCTGTTTTTCTTTAAGGAGTCCCAGCCTGTCAGAAATTACCTTAGATCCTCTCATGTGGGCACTGAGTGGCAACAAGACAGACTAGGGAACAGTGGCAACAAGGCAGACTAGGGAACAGATGGCAACAAGACACACAACTGAGCAGAAAAAGAAAAACTTACTACAGTCCCTACTGTAAAGATGGATAAACTGAGGCAGCATGAAGTTTAAAAATTCATGTTACATAGAGTTGGGCTCCACAGCTCACTCTCTTAAGCATCCTGTAATTTTGCTGAATCTATGCCCAGTCACTGATGCACCTGTATGGTACCTCATGGCCCCCTTAGAGCTTAGAACCTGGGTTTCATTCCTGCTCTACAGCTATATAATTTAACAATTTTCCTCTGAATTTGTTGGATTCTAACCCTATATTTCTAAAATTTTATTAATATTACTGAATCTTAAAGGGAGCTGTGATGTCTTTAGTCTTTAGAAATGTTAAATCTATAAACAAAGAACTATATGCAGTTAAACTGTATTCAAATTTCTACATGCTTTAAAACACTGAGGCAAAGTATTAAGAAACACACCTAAGAAACTGCAACCAATCTACTCTGGACAAAAATTTAGGTACTATCTCTCCAAAATAAGCTACCTAGTGGTATTTATACATATTCTTCCATATACCAACAGTATCTTACATGCTCATAGCCTTAAAAATAACTAAAGTGTCAGAATTATAGGCATTACACATTTCTGTTGGCTTGAAAAATGATACAAAATGCATAAACTTCTAGAATGATCAGTTTAATAAAAGAGTTCATACCAAAGGTAATAATACTAGGAATCAAAGAGGGCTAAACACTGCAGGTTCTTAAAGGCGAAAGTTAATAAAACCTTGTTTTTGGTTGTGAATGTTTGCCTTACAACATTATACACGATTCTCCCCTCTCTTTTTCCTCTTGCAAAGATGTGGTGATGAACCCTTTGCTCATGCAGATGACAATACTCTTGAAAATGGTGGCAGAAAAAAAAATGAAGGGAATATGGTTCACTTAATCATCTCATAAATTAGAACTTATTACCCCTGTGACTCTTGGATAGCTCCAGAAAAAAATATGTGACTGAGATGAAATGGCTGTTTGCTACCAATACTTTATGTGATGCTTCATTTTTTTGATTCCTTGAATAACACAACACATTAGTCCATTTATGCCAGAGGTTGCAATTTTTTGAATTTTTGCATAAGTGAAAAATCAGACCTTGTCGATGACATTTAACAGGAGGATATAAATAATTTCCACATGCTTAGCATGGAACACTAGGCATAAGTGGGCTAACACAATTATGAAAGCATAGCTATTCAAGTAACTAATTATACAACTGATTTTTTTTTCCTCATCTCTAAAACATAGTAAGGGATCAGTTATTTAAAAAACACAACAGTGACAAGTATTTTATTTTTAACTCAGTTTTGGTTTGTTAAGGCTATTGCTTGGCATAAAAATACAAAAACAGGAGGAGAAACAAGAATACAAACATGAAATAGAAGCAGTAGCAAAAGAAAATGAAGAGGAACAAGAAAATGCAAAGAAAATACACAATGGAAGAAAGGAAAAAGAACAGGTGTGGGAATTAGAAGGCCTATCATATGACACTTTTTATCCCCTCCTCGATTCATAAAATTTCAGTAACTCCAAGAGTATCACAACAAAAAACAAGCAAAAGGATACACAAATAGTCACCCTCTAAATTTTGTTAAGAATGAGATAATGCTGCCACTCACGCCTAACTCTGGCACCAGCAGGAGGAGGGCACACTCCAGAGATTGCAGAAGGGGGAGGACTCCTCTTTGCCCTAGGTGTACCACCACCACTGCCACCGAGGCCTTCGTTACAGCACCCACAGGTTCCTCCCCTCCCCAGAACGGGATGGGCCCTGCAGTGCTCCTACTCCCCCTTCCCGGCCCCCAGACTTCCTACTGCTACCACCACTAGTGCCGATGCCAATACAAGCAGTCATCCTCAACGTACCAGCCCACCCTACCAGGATCCTACCACCAGGCCCCCGTGGGTGCCCTTCTACCGCTCCAGTCGAGCTGTGGTCTCCATCTCCAACACCAACTGCATGAGGCAAGCTGCAGAGCCACGTCATCTGCTCGACCTTACCACAGGCGGCGACTCCTTCTCCTCCTTCAGCCTGGCTTGGAGCAGCTGGGCAGGCAAAGCAAGAAAAACCCAAAACAGGACTCAGGGATTGGAACCATTAGAGCCTCACCTCGTTATGCTGGTGACTGGGTGTCAGGGATCAGTTTCATTGAAGACACTCACACCCACCTTCCAAAGTCCAACCTCTCCTTCTGGCAAAAGCTGGCCAGGAACTGGGGCCTGGGGTGGGAGTAAGTGCCTTTACTGAAACCGGCCCCTGGCCAAGTCCAGCTGGCCAGGAATTGCTGGGCCCACCAAGGCTGCCCTCCTCCAGGAGCCTGAGTA
>NC_000017.11:23113679-23194918 GCF_000001405.40 Homo sapiens
AACTTTTTGTGATGTATGCATTCATCACAGAGATTTGAACATTTATTTTCATGGAGCAGTTTGGAAACAGTCTTTTTGCAGAATCTGCAAAGGGAAATATGTAGGCAGTTTGAGGCCTATGGTGGAAAAGGAAATATCTTCATATAAGAACTACACAGATGCATTCTCAGAAACTACTTTGTGACGATTGCATTCAAGTCACAGAGGTGAACATTCCCTTTCAGAGAGCACTTTGGAAACTCTCGTTGTGTAGAATCTGCAAGTGGAGATATGGACCGCTTTGAGGCCGATGGTAGTAAAGGAAACAGCTTCATATAAAAACTAGACAGCAGCATTCTCAGAAAACTCTTTGTGACGACTGAGATTAACTCACAGGGCTGAACATTCCTTTGGATGGAGCAGTTTGGAAACACACTATCTGTAGGATCTGCAAGCGGATACTTGGGCCTCTCTGAGGATTGCGTTGGAAACGGGATAAACCGCACAGAACTAAACAGAAGCATTCTCAGAACCTTCTTCGTGATGTTTGCATTCAACCCACAGTGTTGAACCTTTCTTTGATAGTTCAGGTTTGAAACACTCTTTTTGTAGAAACTGCAAGTGGATAACTGCACTTCTTTGAGGCCTATCGTAGTAAAGGAAATAACTTCCTATAAAAACAAGACAGAAGCTTTCTCAGAAAATTCTCTGGGATGATTGACCTGAACTCACAGAGCAGTACTTTCCTTGGGATGGAGTAGTTTCGAAACACACTTTCTGTAGAATCTGCAAGTGGATATTTGGACCTGTCTGAGGAATTCGTTGCAAACGGGATAATTTCAGCTAAGTAAACAGAAGCAGTCTCAGAATCTTCTTGTGATGTTTGCATTCAAATCCCAGAATTGAACCTTCCTTTGAAAGTTCAGGTTGGAAACACTCTTTTTGCAGGATCTACAAGTGGATATTCGGACCACTCTGTGGACTTCGTTCGAAACGGGTATATCTTCACATAACATCTAGACAGAAGCATTCTCAGAAACTTTTCTGTGATGACTGCATTCAACTCACAGAGTTGAACACTCCTTTTGAGAGCGCAGTTTTGAAACTCTCTTTCTCTGGAATCTGCAAGGGGACATGCAGACCTCTTTGAAGGTTTCGTTGGAAACGGAATCATCTTCACATAAAAATTACACAGAAGCATTCTCAGGAACTCCTTGGTGATGTTTGTATTCAACTTCCAGAGTTGAACTTTCCTTCGGAAAGAGCAGCTATGAAACACTCTTTTTCTAGAATCTGCAAGTGGACATTGGGAGGGCTGTGAGGTTTGTGGTGGAAAAGGAAATATCTCCACGTAACTACTAGATAGAAGCCTTCTCAGAAACTACTTTGTGATGATTGCATTCACCTCACGGAGTGGAGCATTCCTATTGACAGAGCAGTTTGGAAACACTCTTCTTGTAGAATCGGCTAGTGGAGATTTGGAGCGCTTTGAGGCCTATGGTAGTAAAGGGAAGAGCTTCACATAAAATCTAGACAGAAGCATTCTCAGAAAATACTTTGTGATGATTGAGTTTAGCACACAGAGCTGAACATTCCTTTGGATGGAGAAGGTTTGAAACACACTTTCTGTAGAATCTGCGAGTGGATATTTGGACCTCTCTGAGGATTTCGTTGGAAACGGGATAACTGCACCTAACTAAACGGAAGCATTCTCACAAAATTCTTTGTGATGTTTGCATTCAAATCCCAGAGTTGAACCTTCCTTTGATAGTTCAGCTTTGAAACACTCTTTTTGTAGGATCTGCAGGTGGATATTTGGACCACTCTTTGGCCTTCGTTCGAAAAGGGTACATCTTCAAATAAAATCTAGACAGAAGCCTTCTCAGAAACTTCTCTGTGACGATTGCATTCAACTCAAAGCGTTGAACCCTCCTATGGATAGAGCAGTTTTGAATCTCTCTTTTTGTGGAATCTGCAAGTGGATATGTGGTCCTCTTTGAAGATGTCTTTGGAAACGGGAATATCTTCACATAAAAACTAAACAGAAGCATTCTCAGAAACTTCTCTGTGATGTTTGTGTTCAACTCACAGAGTTTCACGTTGCTTTTCATAGAGCAGATGAGAAACAAGCTTTTCGTAGGGTCTGCAAGTGGACATTTGGAGAGATTTCAGGCGTGTGGTGGAAAACGAATTATCGTCACGTAAAAACTAGAGAGAAGGATTGTCAGAAACTTGTTTGTGATGACTGCATTCAACTCACAGAGTTGAAGGTTCCTTTTCAAACAGCAGTTTCCAAACACTCTTTCTGTGGCATCTGCAAGTGGATGTTTGGGCCTCTTTGAAGATTTCGTTGGAAACGGGATAATCTTCACAGAAAAGCTAAACAGAAGCATTCTCAGAAACTTCTTTGTGATGTTTGCTTTCAACTCACAGAGTTGAACTTTCCTTTTGAGAGAGAAGCTTTGAAACACTCTTTTTCTAGAATCTGCAAGTGGATATTTGGAGGGCTTTGAGGCCTGAGGTGGAAAAGGAATTATCTTCCCGTAAGAACTAGATAGATGCATTCTCAGAAACTACTTTGTGACGATTGCATTCAAGTCACAGAGGTGAACATTCCCTTTCAGAGAGCACTTTGGAAACTCTCGTTGTGTAGAATCTGCAAGTGGAGATATGGACCGCTTTGAGGCCTATGGTAGTAAAGGAAACAGCTTCATATAAAAACTAGACAGCAGCATTCTCAGAAAACTCTTTGTGACGACTGAGTTTAACTCACAGGGCTGAACATTCCTTTGGATGGAGCAGTTTGGAAACACACTATCTGTAGGATCTGCAAGCGGATACTTGGGCCTCCCTGACGATTTCGTTGGAAACGGGATAAACCGCACAGAACTAAACAGAAGCATTCTCAGAACCTTCTTCGTGATGTTTGCATTCAACCCACAGTGTTGAACCTTTCTTTGATAGTTCAGGTTTGAAACACTCTTTTTGTAGAAACTGCAAGTGGATAACTGCACTTCTTTGAGGCCTATCGTAGTAAAGGAAATAACTTCCTATAAAAACAAGACAGAAAGCTTTCTCAGAAAATTCTCTGGGATGATTGAGTTGAACTCACAGAGCAGTACTTTCCTTGGGATGGAGTAGTTTCGAAACACACTTTCTGTAGAATCTGCAAGTGGATATTTGGACCTGTCTGAGGAATTCGTTGCAAACGGGATAATTTCAGCTAAGTAAACAGAAGCAGTCTCAGAATCTTCTTGTGATGTTTGCATTCAAATCCCAGAATTGAACCTTCCTTTGAAAGTTCAGGTTGGAAACACTCTTTTTGCAGGATCTACAAGTGGATATTCGGACCACTCTGTGGACTTCGTTCGAAACCGGTATATCTTCACATAACATCTAGACAGAAGCATTCTCAGAAACTTTTCTGTGATGACTGCATTCAACTCACAGAGTTGAACACTCCTTTTGAGAGCGCAGTTTTGAAACTCTCTTTCTCTGGAATCTGCAAGGGGACATGCAGACCTCTTTGAAGGTTTCGTTGGAAACGGAATCATCTTCACATAAAAATTACACAGAAGCATCCTCAGGAACTCCTTGGTGATGTTTGTATTCAACTTCCAGAGGTGAACTTTCCTTCGGAAAGAGCAGCTATGAAACACTCTTTTTCTAGAATCTGCAAGTGGACATTGGGAGGGCTGTGAGGTTTGTGGTGGAAAAGGAAATATCTCCACATAAATACTAGATAGAAGCCTTCTCAGAAACTACTTTGTGATGATCGCATTCACCTCACGGAGTGGAGCATTCCTATTGACAGAGCAGTTTGGAAACACTCTTCTTGTAGAATCGGCTAGTGGAGATTTGGAGCGCTTTGAGGCCTATGGTAGTAAAGGGAAGAGCTTCACATAAAATCTAGACAGAAGCATTCTCAGAAAATACTTTGTGATGATTGAGTTTAACACACAGAGCTGAACATTCCTTTGGATGGAGAAGGTTTGAAACACACTTTCTGTAGAATCTGCGAGTGGATATTTGGACCTCTCGGAGGATTTCGTTGGAAACGGGATAACTGCACATAACTAAACGGAAGCATTCTCACAAAATTCTTTGTGATGTTTGCATTCAAATCCCAGAGTTGAACCTTCCTTTGATAGTTCAGCTTTGAAACACTCTTTTTGTAGGTTCTGCAGGTGGATATTTGGACCACTCTTTGGCCTTCGTTCGAAACGGGTACATCTTCAAATAAAATCTAGACAGAAGCCTTCTCAGAAACTTCTCTGTGACGATTGCATTCAACTCAAAGCGTTGAACCCTCCTATGGATAGAGCAGTTTTGAATCTCTCTTTTTGTGGAATCTGCAAGTGGATATGTGGTCCTCTTTGAAGATGTCTTTGGAAACGGGAATATCTTCACATAAAAACTAAACAGAAGCATTCTCAGAAACTTCTCTGTGATGTTTGTGTCCAAATCACAGAGTTTCACGTTGCTTTTCATAGAGCAGATGAGAAACATGCTTTTCGTAGGGTCTGCAAGTGGACATTTGGAGAGATTTCAAGCCTGTGGTGGAAAACGAATTATCGTCACGTAAAAACTAGAGGGAAAGCATTGTCAGAAACTTGTTTGTGATGACTGCATTCAACTCACAGAGTTGAAGGTTCCTTTTCAAACAGCAGTTTCCAAACACTCTTTCTGTGGCATCTGCAAGTGGATGTTTGGGCCTCTTTGAAGATTTCGTTGGAAACGGGATAATCTTCACAGAAAAGCTAAACAGAAGCATTCCCAGAAACTTCTTTGTGATGTTTGCTTTCAACTCACAGAGTTGAACTTTCCTTTTGAGAGAGAAGCTTTGAAACACTCTTTTTCTAGAATCTGCAAGTGGATATTTGCAGGGCTTTGAGGCCTGTGGTGGAAAAGGAATTATCTTCCCGTAAGAACTAGATAGATGCATTCTCAGAAACTACTTTGTGACGATTGCATTCAAGTCACAGAGGTGAACATTCCCTTTCGAGAGCACTTTGGAAACTCTCGTTGTGTAGAATCTGCAAGTGGAGATATGGACCGCTTTGAGGCCTATGGTAGTAAAGGAAACAGCTTCATATAAAAACTAGACAGCAGCATTCTCAGAAAACTCTTTGTGACGACTGAGTTTAACTCACAGGGCTGAACATTCCTTTGGATGGAGCAGTTTGGAAACACACTATCTGTAGGATCTGCAAGCGGATACTTGGGCCTCTCTGAGGATTTCGTTGGAAACGGGATAAACCGCACAGAACGAAACAGAAGCATTCTCAGAACCTTCTTCGTTACGTTTGCATTCAACCCACAGTGTTGAACCTTTCTTTGATAGTTCAGGTTTGAAACACTCTTTTTGTAGAAACTGCAAGTGGATAACTGCACTTCTTTGAGGCCTATCGTAGTAAAGGAAATAACTTCCTATAAAAACAAGACAGAAGCTTTCTCAGAAAATTCTCTGGGATGATTGAGTTGAACTCACAGAGCAGTACTTTCTTTGGGATGGAGTAGTTTCGAAACACACTTTCTGTACAATCTGCAAGTGGATATTTGGACCTGTCTGAGGAATTCGTTGCAAACGGGATAATTTCAGCTAAGTAAACAGAAGCAGTCTCAGAATCTTCTTGTGATGTTTGCATTCAAATCCCAGAATTGAACCTTCCTTTGAAAGTTCAGGTTGGAAACACTCTTTTTGCAGGATCTACAAGTGGATATTCGGACCACTCTGTGGACTTCGTTCGAAACGGGTATATCTTCACATAACATCTAGACAGAAGCATTCTCAGAAACTTTTCTGTGATGACTGCATTCAACTCACAGAGTTGAACACTCCTTTTGAGAGCGCAGTTTTGAAACTCTCTTTCTCTGGAATCTGCAAGGGGACATGCAGACCTCTTTGAAGGTTTCGTTGGAAACGGAATCATCTTCACATAAAAATTACCCAGAGGCATCCTCAGGTAACTCCTTGGTGATGTTTGTATTCAACTTCCAGAGTTGAACTTTCCTTCGGAAAGAGCAGCTATGAAACACTCTCTTTCTAGAATCTGCAAGTGGACATTGGGAGGGCTGTGAGGTTTGTGGTGGAAAAGGAAATATCTCCACATAAATACTAGATAGAAGCCTTCTCAGAAACTACTTTGTGATGATTGCATTCACCTCACGGAGTGGAGCATTCCTATTGACAGAGCAGTTTGGAAACACTCTTGTTGTAGAATCTCCTAGTGGAGATTTGGAGCGCTTTGAGGCCTATGGTAGTAAAGGGAAGAGCTTCACATAAAATCTAGACAGAAGCATTCTCAGAAAATACTTTGTGATGATTGAGTTTAACACACAGAGCTGAACATTCCTTTGGATGGAGAAGGTATGAAACACACTTTCTGTAGAATCTGCGAGTGGATATTTGGACCTCTCTGAGGATTTCGTTGGAAACGGGATAACTGCACCTAACTAAACGGAAGCATTCTCACAAAATTCTTTGTGATGTTTGCATTCAAATCCCAGAGTTGAACCTTCCTTTGATAGTTCAGCTTTGAAACACTCTTTTTGTAGGATCTGCAGGTGGATATTTGGACCACTCTTTGGCCTTCGTTCGAAATGGGTACATCTTCAAATAAAATCTAGACAGAAGCCTTCTCAGAAACTTCTCTGTGATGATTGCATTCAACTGAAGGCGTTGAACCCTCCTATGGATAGGGCAGTTTTGAATCTCTCTTTTTGTGGAATCTGCAAGTGGATATGTGGTCCTCTTTGAAGATGTCTTTGGAAACGGGAATATCTTCACATAAAAACTAAACAGAAGCATTCTCATAAACTTCTCTGTGATGTTTGTGTCCAAATAACAGAGTTTCACGTTGCTTTTCATAGAGCAGATGAGAAACATGCTTTTCGTAGGGTCTGCAAGTGGACATTTGGAGAGATTTCAGGCCTGTGGTGGAAAACGAATTATCGTCACGTAAAAACTAGAGGGAAGCATTGTCAGAAACTTGTTTGTGATGACTGCATTCAACTCACAGAGTTGAAGGTTCCTTTTCAAACAGCAGTTTCCAAACACTCTTTCTGTGGCATCTGCAAGTGGATGTTTGGGCCTCTTTGAAGATTTCGTTGGAAACGGGATAATCTTCACAGAAAAGCTAAACAGAAGCATTCTCAGAAACTTCTTTGTGATGTTTGCTTTCAACTCACAGAGTTGAACTTTCCTTTTGAGAGAGAAGCTTTGAAACACTCTTTTTCTTGAATCTGCAAGTGGATATTTGGAGCGCTTTGAGGCCTGTGGTGGAAAAGGAATTATCTTCCCACAAGAACTAGATAGATGCATTCTCAGAAAGTACTTTGTGACGATTGCATTCAAGTCACAGAGGTGAACATTCCCTTTCACAGAGCACTTTGGAAACTCTCGTTGTGTAGAATCTGCAAGTGGAGATATGGACTGCTTTGAGGCCTATGGTAGTAAAGGAAACAGCTTCATATAAAAACTAGACAGCAGCATTCTCAGAAAACTCTTTGTGACGACTGAGTTTAACTCACAGGGCTGAACATTCCTTTGGATGGAGCAGTTTGGAAACACACTATCTGTAGGATCTGCAAGCGGATACTTGGGCCTCCCTGAGGATTTCGTTGGAAACGGGATAAACCGCACAGAACTAAACAGAAGCATTCTCAGAACCTTCTTCGTTACGTTTGCATTCAACCCACAGTGTTGAACCTTTCTTTGATAGTTCAGGTTTGAAACACTCTTTTTGTAGAAACTGCAAGTGGATAACTGCACTTTCTTTGAGGCCTATCGTAGTAAAGGAAATAACTTCCTATAAAAACAAGACAGAAGCTTTCTCAGAAAATTCTCTGGGATGATTGAGTTGAACTCACAGAGCAGTACTTTCCTTGGGATGGAGTAGTTTCGAAACACACTTTCTGTAGAATCTGCAAGTGGATATTTGGACCTGTCTGAGGAATTCGTTGCAAACGGGATAATTTCAGCTAAGTAAACAGAAGCAGTCTCAGAATCTTCTTGTGATGTTTGCATTCAAATCCCAGAATTGAACCATCCTTTGAAAGTGCAGGTTTGAAACACTCTTTTTGCAGGGTCTACAAGTGGATATTCGGACCACTCTGTGGACTTCGATCGAAACGGGTATATCTTCACATAACATCTAGACAGAAGCATTCTCAGAAACTTTTCTGTGATGACTGCATTCAACTCACAGAGTTGAACACTCCTTTTGAGAGCGCAGTTTTGAAACCCTTTCTCTGGAATCTGCAAGGGGACATGCAGACCTCTTTGAAGGTTTCGTTGGAAACGGAATCATCTTCACATAAAAATTACACAGAAGCATTCTCAGGAACTCCTTGGTGATGTTTGTATTCAACTTCCAGAGTTGAACTTTCCTTCGGAAAGAGCAGCTATGAAACACTCTTTTTCTAGAATCTGCAAGTGGACATTGGGAGGGCTGTGAGGATTGTGGTGGAAAAGGAAATATCTCCACGTAAATACTAGATAGAAGCCTTCTCAGAAACTACTTTGTGATGATTGGATTCACCTCACGGAGTGGAGCATTCCTATTGACAGAGCAGTTTGGAAACACTCTTGTTGTAGAATCTGCTAGTGGAGATTTGGAGCGCTTTGAGGCCTATGGTAGTAAAGGGAAGAGCTTCACATAAAATCAAGACAGAAGCATTCTCAGAAAATACTTTGTGATGATTGAGTTTAACACACAGAGCTGAACATTCCTTTGGATGGAGAAGGTTTGAAACACACTTTCTGTAGAATCTGCGAGTGGATATTTGGACCTCTCTGAGGATTTCGTTGGAAACGGGATAACTGCACCTAACTAAACGGAAGCATTCTCACAAAATTCTTTGTGATGTTTGCATTCAAATCCCAGAGTTGAACCTTCCTTTGATAGTTCAGCTTTGAAACACTCTTTTTGTAGGATCTGCAAGTGGATATTTGGACCACTCTTTGGCCTTCGTTCGAAACGGGTACATCTTCAAATGAAATCTAGACAGAAGCCTTCTCAGAAACTTCTCTGTGACGATTGCATTCAACTCAAAGCGTTGAACCCTCCCTATGGATAGAGCAGTTTTGAATCTCTCTTTTTGTGGAATCTGCAAGTGGATATGTGGTCCTCTTTGAAGATGTCTTTGGAAACGGGAATATCTTCACATAAAAACTAAACAGAAGCATTCTCAGAAACTTCTCTGTGATGTTTGTGTTCAACTCACAGAGTTTCACGTTGCTTTTCATAGAGCAGATGAGAAACATGCTTTTCGTAGGGTCTGCAAGTGGACATTTGGAGAGATTTCAGGCCTGTGGTGGAAAACGAATTATCGTCACGTAAAAACTAGAGGGAAGCATTGTCAGAAACTTGTTTGTGATGACTGCATTCCACTCACAGAGTTGAAGGTTCCTTTTCAAACAGCAGTTTCCAAACACTCTTTCTGTGGCATCTGCAAGTGGATGTTTGGGCCTCTTTGAAGATTTCGTTGGAAACGGGATAATCTTCACAGAAAAGCTAAACAGAAGCATTCTCAGAAACTTCTTTGTGATGTTTGCTTTCAACTCACAGAGTTGAACTTTCCTTTTGAGAGAGAAGCTTTGAAACACTCTTTTTCTACCATCTGCAAGTGCATATTTGGAGGGCTTTGAGGCCTGTGGTGGAAAAGGAATTATCTTCCCGTAAGAACTAGATAGATGCATTCTCAGAAACTACTTTGTGACGATTGCATTCAAGTCACAGAGGTGAACATTCCCTTTCAGAGAGCACTTTGGAAACTCTCGTTGTGTAGAATCTGCAAGTGGAGATATGGACCGCTTTGAGGCCTATGGTAGTAAAGGAAACAGCTTCATATAAAAACTAGACAGCAGCATTCTCAGAAAACTCTTTGTGACGACTGAGTTTAACTCACAGAGCTGAACATTCCTTTGGATGGAGCAGTTTGGAAACACACTATCTGTAGGATCTGCAAGCGGATACTTGGGCCTCTCTGAGGATTGCGTTGGAAACGGGATAAACCGCACAGAACTAAACAGAAGCATTCTCAGAACCTTCTTCATGACGTTTGCATTCAACCCACAGTGTTGAACCTTTCTTTGAGAGTTCAGGTTTGAAACACTCTTTTTGTAGAGACTGCAAGTGGATAACTGCACTTCTTTGAGGCCTATCGTATTAAAGGAAATAACTTCCTATAAAAACAAGACAGAAGCTTTCTCAGAAAATTCTCTGGGATGATTGAGTTGAACTCACCAGAGCAGTACTTTCCTTGGGATGGAGTAGTTTCGAAACACACTTTCTGTAGAATCTGCAAGTGGATATTTGGACCTGTCTGAGGAATTCGTTGCAAACGGGATAATTTCAGCTAAGTAAACAGAAGCAGTCTCAGAAACTTCTTGTGATGTTTGCATTCAAATCCCAGAATTGAACCTTCCTTTGAAAGTTCAGGTTGGAAACACTCTTTATGCAGGATCTACAAGTGGATATTCGGACCACTCTGTGGACTTCGTTCGAAACGGGTATATCTTCACATAACATCTAGACAGAAGCATTCTCAGAAACTTTTCTGTGATGACTGCATTCAACTCAGAGAGTTGAACACTCCTTTTGAGAGCGCAGTTTTGAAACTCTCTTTCTCTGGAATCTGCAAGGGGACATGCAGACCTCTTTGAAGGTTTCGTTGGAAACGGAATCATCTTCACATAAAAATTACACGGAAGCATTCTCAGGAACTCCTTGGTGATGTTTGTATTCAACTTCCAGAGTTGAACTTTCCTTCGGAAAGAGCAGCTATGAAACACTCTTTTTCTAGAATCTGCAAGTGGACATTGGGAGGGCTGTGAGGTTTGTGGTGGAAAAGGAAATATCTCCACATAAATACTAGATAGAAGCCTTCTCAGAAACTACTTTGTGATGATTGCATTCACCTCACGGAGTGGAGCATTCCTATTGACAGAGCAGTTTGGAAACACTCTTCTTGTAGAATCGGCTAGTGGAGATTTGGAGCGCTTTGAGGCCTATGGTAGTAAAGGGAAGAGCTTCACATAAAATCTAGACGGAAAGCATTCTCAGAAAATACTTTGTGATGATTGAGTTTAACACACAGAGCTGAACATTCCTTTGGATGGAGAAGGTTTGAACCACACTTTCTGTAGAATCTGCGAGTGGATATTTGGACCTCTCTGAGGATTTCGTTGGAAACCGGATAACTGCACCTAACTAAACGGAAGCATTCTCACAAAATTCTTTGTGATGTTTGCATTCAAATCCCAGAGTTGACCCTTCCTTTGATAGTTCAGCTTTGAAACACTCTTTTTGTAGGATCTGCAAGTGGATATTTGGACCACTCTTTGGCCTTCGTTCGAAACGGGTACATCTTCAAATAAAATCTAGACAGAAGCCTTCTGAGAACCTTCTCTGTGATGATTGCATTCAACTCAAAGCGTTGGACCCTCCTATGGATAGAGCAGTTTTGAATCTCTCTTTTTGTGGAATCTGCAAGTGGATGTGTGGTCCTCTTTGAAGATGTCTTTGGAAACGGGAATATCTTCACATAAAAACTAAACAGAAGCATTCTCAGAAACTTCTCTGTGATGTTTGTGTTCAACTCACAGAGTTTCACGTTGCTTTTCATAGAGCAGATGAGAAACATGCTTTTCGTAGGGTCTGCAAGTGGACATTTGGAGAGCTTTCAGGCCTGTGGTGGAAAACGAATTATCGTCACGTAAAAACTAGAGAGAAGCATTGTCAGAAACTTGTTTGTGATGACTGCATTCAACTCACAGAGTTGAAGGTTCCTTTTCAAACAGCAGTTTCCAAACACTCTTTCTGTGGCATCTGCAAGTGGATGTTTGGGCCTCTTTGAAGATTTCGTTGGAAACGGGATAATCTTCACAGAAAAGCTAAACAGAAGCATTCTCAGAAACTTCTTTGTGATGTTTGCTTTCAACTCACAGAGTTGAACTTTCCTTTTGAGAGAGAAGCTTTGAAACACTCTTTTTCTAGAATCTGCAAGTGGATATTTGGAGGGCTTTGAGGCCTGAGGTGGAAAAGGAATGATCTTCCCGTAAGAACTAGATAGATGCATTCTCAGAAACTACTTTGTGACGATTGCATTCAAGTCACAGAGGTGAACATTCCCTTTCACAGAGCACTTTGGAAACTCTCGTTGTGTAGAATCTGCAAGTGGAGATATGGACCGCTTTGAGGCCTATGGTAGTAAAGGAAACAGCTTCATATAAAAACTAGACAGCAGCATTCTCAGAAAACTCTTTGTGACGACTGAGTTTAACTCACAGGGCTGAACATTCCTTTGCATGGAGCAGTTTGGAAACACACTATCTGTAGGATCTGCAAGCGGATACTTGGGCCTCTCTGAGGATTTCGTTGGAAACGGGATAAACCGCACAGAACTAAACAGAAGCATTCTCAGAACCTTCTTCGTGATGTTTGCATTCAACCCACAGTGTTGAACCTTTCTTTGATAGTTCAGGTTTGAAACACTCTTTTTGTAGAAACTGCAAGTGGATAACTGCACTTCTTTGAGGCCTATCGTAGTAAAGGAAATAACTTCCTATAAAAACAAGACAGAAGCTTTCTCAGAAAATTCTCTGGGATGATTGAGTTGAACTCACAGAGCAGTCCTTTCCTTGGGATGGAGTAGTTTCGAAACACACTTTCTGTAGAATCTGCAAGTGGATATTTGGACCTGTCTGAGGAATTCGTTGCAAACGGGATAATTTCAGCTAAGTAAACAGAAGCAGTCTCAGAATCTTCTTGTGATGTTTGCATTGAAATCCCAGAATTGAACCTTCCTTTGAAAGTTCAGGTTGGAAACACTCTTTTTGCAGGATCTACAAGTGGATATTCGGACCACTCTGTGGACTTCGTTCGAAACGGGTATATCTTCACATAACATGCTAGACAGAAGCATTCTCAGAAACTTTTCTGTGATGACTGCATTCAACTCACAGAGTTGAACACTCCTTTTGAGAGCGCAGTTTTGAAACTCTCTTTCTCTGGAATCTGCAAGGGGACATGCAGACCTCTTTGAAGGTTTCGTTGGAAACGGAATCATCTTCACATAAAAATTACACAGAAGCATTCTCAGGAACTCCTTGGTGATGTTTGTATTCAACTTCCAGAGTTGAACTTTCCTTCGGAAAGAGCAGCTATGAAACACTCTTTTTCTAGAATCTGCAAGTGGACATTGGGAGGGCTGTGAGGTTTGTGGTGGAAAAGGAAATATCTCCACGTAAATACTAGATAGAAGCCTTCTCAGAAACTACTTTGTTATGATTGCATTCACCTCACGGAGTGGAGCATTCCTATTGACAGAGCAGTTTGGAAACACTCTTGTTGTAGAATCTCCTAGTGGAGATTTGGAGCGCTTTGAGGCCTATGGTAGTAAAGGGAAGAGCTTCACATAAAATCTAGACAGAAGCATTCTGAGAAAATACTTTGTGATGATTGAGTTTAACACACAGAGCTGAACATTCCTTTGGATGGAGAAGGTTTGAAACACACTTTCTGTAGAATCTGCGAGTGGATATTTGGACCTCTCTGAGGATTTCGTGGGAAACGGGATAACTGCACCTAACTAAACGGAAGCATTCTCACAAAATTCTTTGTGATGTTTGCATTCAAATCCCAGAGTTGAACCGTCCTTTGATAGTTCAGCTTTGAAACACTCTTTTTGTAGGATCTGCAGGTGGATATTTGGACCACTCTTTGGCCTTCATTCGAAACGGGTACATCTTCAAATAAAATCTAGACAGAAGCCTTCTCAGAAACTTCTCTGTGACGATTGCATTCAACTCAAAGCGTTGAACCCTCCTATGGATAGAGCAGTTTTGAATCTCTCTTTTTCTGGAATCTGCAAGTGGATATGTGGTCCTCTTTGAAGATGTCTTTGGAAACGGGAATATCTTCACATAAAAACTAAACAGAAGCATTCTCAGAAACTTCTCTGTGATGTTTGTGTTCAACTCACAGAGTTTCACGTTGCTTTTCATACAGCAGATGAGAAACATGCTTTTCGTAGGGTCTGCAAGTGGACATTTGGAGAGATTTCAGGCCTGTGGTGGAAAACGAATTATCGTCACGTAAAAACTAGAGAGAAGCATTGTCAGAAACTTGTTTGTGATGACTGCATTCAACTCACAGAGTTGAAGGTTCCTTTTCAAACAGCAGTTTCCAAACACTCTTTCTGTGGCATCTGCAAGTGGATGCTTGGGCCTCTTTGAAGATTTCGTTGGAAACGGGATAATCTTCACAGAAAAGCTAAACAGAAGCATTCTCAGAAACTTCTTTGTGATGTTTGCTTTCAACTCACAGCAGTTGAACTTTCCTTTTGAGAGAGAAGCTTTGAAACACTCTTTTTCTAGAATCTGCAAGTGGATATTTGGAGGGCTTTGAGGCCTGTGGTGGAAAAGGAATTATCTTCCCGTAAGAACTAGATAGATGCATTCTCAGAAACTACTTTGTGACGATTGCATTCAAGTCACAGAGGTGAACATTACCTTTCAGAGAGCACTTTGGAAACTCTCGTTGTGTAGAATCTGCAAGTGGAGATATGGACCGCTTTGAGGCCTATGGTAGTAAAGGAAACAGCTTCATATAAAAACTAGACAGCAGCATTCTCAGAAAACTCTTTGTGACGACTGAGTTTAACTCACAGGGCTGCACATTCCTTTGGATGGAGCAGTTTGGAAACACACTATCTGTAGGATCTGCAAGCGGATACTTGGGCCTCTCTGAGGATTTCGTTGGAAACGGAATAAACCGCACAGAACTAAACAGAAGCATTCTCAGAACCTTCTTCGTGATGTTTGCATTCAACCCACAGTGTTGAACCTTTCTTTGATAGTTCAGGTTTGAAACACTCTTTTTGTAGAAACTGCAAGTGGATAACTGCACTTCTTTGAGGCCTATCGTAGTAAAGGAAATAACTTCCTATAAAAACAAGACAGAAGCTTTCTCAGAAAATTCTCTGGGAAGATTGAGTTGAACTCACAGAGCAGTACTTTCCTTGGGATGGAGTAGTTTCGAAACACACTTTCTGTAGAATCTGCAAGTGGATATTTGGACCTGTCTGAGGAATTCGTTGCAAACGGGATAATTTCAGCTAAGTAAACAGAAGCAGTCTCAGAATCTTCTTGTGATGTTTGCATTCAAATCCCAGAATGGAACCTTCCTTTGAAAGTTCAGGTTGGAAACACTCTTTTTGCAGGATCTACAAGTGGATATTCGGACCACTCTGTGGACTTCGTTCGAAACGGGTATATCTTCACATAACATCTAGACAGAAGCATTCTCAGAAACTTTTCTGTGATGACTGCATTCAACTCACAGAGTTGAACACTCCTTTTGAGAGTGCAGTTTTGAAACTCTCTTTCTCTGGAATCTGCAAGGGGACATGCAGACCTCTTTGAAGGTTTCGTTGGAAACGGAATCATCTTCACATAAAAATTACACAGAAGCATCCTCAGGAACTCCTTGGTGATGTTTGTATTCAACTTCCAGAGTTGAACTTTCCTTCGGAAAGAGCAGCTATGAAACACTCTTTTTCTAGAATCTGCAAGTGGACATTGGGAGGGCTGTGAGGTTTGTGGTGGAAAAGGAAATATCTCCACATAAATACTAGTTAGAAGCCTTCTCAGAAACTACTTTGTGATGATTGCATTCACCTCACGGAGTGGAGCATTCCTATTGACAGAGCAGTTTGGAAACACTCTTCTCGTAGAATCGGCTAGTGGAGATTTGGAGCGCTTTGAGGCCTATGGTAGTAAAGGGAAGAGCTTCACATAAAATCTAGACAGAAGCATTCTCAGAAAATACTTTGTGATGATTGAGTTTAACACACAGAGCTGAACATTACCTTTGCGATGGAGCAGGTTTGAAACACACTTTCTATAGAATCTGCGAGTGGATATTTGGACCTCTCTGAGGATTTCGTTGGAAACGGGATAACTGCACCTAACTAAATGGAAGCATTCTCACAAAATTCTTTGTGATGTTTGCATTCAAATCCCAGAAGTTGAACCTTCCTTTGATAGTTCAGCTTTGAAACACTCTTTTTGTAGGATCTGCAGGTGGATATTTGGACCACTCTTTGGCCTTCGTTCGAAACGGGTACATCTTCAAATAAAATCTAGACAGAAGCCTTCTCAGAAACTTCTCTGTGACGATTGCATTCAACTCAAAGCGTTGAACCCTCCTATGGATAGAGCAGTTTTGAATCTCTCTTTTTGTGGAATCTGCAAGTGGATATGTGGTCCTCTTTGAAGATGTCTTTGGAAACGGGAATATCTTCACATTAAAACTAAACAGAAGCATTCTCAGAAACTTCTCTGTGATGTTTGTGTTCAACTCACAGAGTTTCACGTTGCTTTTCATAGAGCAGATGAGAAACATGCTTTTCGTAGGGTCTGCAAGTGGACATTTGGAGAGATTTCCGGCCTGTGGTGGAAAACGAATTATCGTCACGTAAAAACTAGAGAGAAGCATTGTCAGAAACTTGTTTGTGATGACTGCATTCAACACACAGAGTTGAAGGTTCCTTTTCAAACAGCAGTTTCCAAACACTCTTTCTGTGGCATCTGCAAGTGGATGTTTGGGCCTCTTTGAAGATTTCGTTGGAAACGGGATACTCTTCACAGAAAAGCTAAACAGAAGCATTGTCAGAAACTTCTTTGTGATGTTTGCATTCTACTCACAGAGTTGAACTTTCCTTTTGAGAGAGAAGCTTTGAAACACTCTTTCTCTAGAATCTGCAAGTGGATATTTGGAGGGCTTTGAGGCCTGTGGTGGAAAAGGAATTAACTTCCCGTAAAAACTAGATAGATGCATTCTCAGAAACTACTTTGTGACGATTGCATTCAAGTCACAGAGGTGAACATTCCCTTTCAGAGAGCACTTTGGAAACTCTCGTTGTGTAGAATCTGCAAGTGGAGATATGGACCGCTTTGAGGCCTATGGTAGTAAAGGAAACAGCTTCATATAAAAACTAGACAGCAAGCATTCTCAGAAAACTCTTTGTGACGACTGAGTTTAACTCACAGGGCTGAACATTCCTTTGGATGGAGCAGTTTCGAAACACACTACTTGTAGAATCTGCCAGTGGATATTTGGGCCTCTCTGAGGATTTCGCTGGAAACGGGATAAACCGCCCAGAAATAAACAGAAGCATTCTCAGAACATTCTTCGTGATGTTTGCGTTCAACTCACAGCTTTGAACCTTTCCTTGATACTTCGGGTTTGAAACACTCTTTTTGTAGAAACTGCAAGTGGATAATTGCACTTCTTTGAGGCCTATCCTAGTAAAGGAAATAACTTCATATAAAAACAAGACAGAAACTTTCTCAGAAAATCCTCTGGGATGATTGAGTTGAACTCACAGAGCTGTACTTTCCTTGGCATGGAGTTGTTTCGAAACACACTTTCTGTAGAATCTGCAAGGGGATATTTGGACCTGTCTGAGGAATTCGATGTAAATGGGATAATTTCAGCTAACTACACAGAAGCAGTCTCAGAATCTTCTTGTGATGTTTGCATTCAAATCCCAGAATTGAACCTTCCTTTGAAAGTTCAGGTTGGAAACACTCTTTTTGCAGGATCTACAAGTGGATATTCGGACCACTCTGTGGACTTCGTTCGAAACGGGTATATCTTCACATAACATCTAGACAGAAGCATTCTCAGAAACTTTTCTGTGATGACTGCATTCAACTCACAGAGTTGAACACTCCTTTTGAGAGCGCAGTTTTGAAACTCTCTTTCTCTGGAATCTGCAAGGGGACATGCAGACCTCATTGAAGGTTTTGTTGGAAACAGAATCATCTTCACATAAAAATTACACAGAAGCATTCTCAGGAACTCCTTGGTCATGTTTGTATTCAACTTCCAGAGTTGAACTTTCCTTCGGAAAAAGCAGCTATGAAACACTCTTTTTCTAGAATCTGCAAGTGGACATTGGGAGGGCTGTGAGGTTTGTGGTGGAAAAGGAAATATCTCCACATAAATACTAGATAGAAGCCTTCTCAGAAACTACTTTGTGATGATTGCATTCACCTCACGGAGTGGAGCATTCCTATTGACAGAGCAGTTTGGAAACACTCTTGTTGTAGAATCTGCTAGTGGAGGTTTGGAGCGCTTTGAGGCCTATGGTAGTAAAGGGAAGAGCTTCACATAAAATCTAGACAGAAGCATTCTCAGAAAATACTTTGTGATGATTGAGTTTAGCACACAGAGCTGAACATTCCTTTGGATGGAGCAGGTTTGAAACACACTTTCTGTAGAACCTGCGAGTGGATATTTGGACCTCTCTGAGGATTTCGTTGGAAACGGGATAACTGCACCTAACTAAACGGAAGCATTCTCACAAAATTCTTTGTGATGTTTGCATTCAAATCCCAGAGTTGAACCTTCCTTTGATAGTTCAGCTTTGAAACACTCTTTTTGTAGGATCTGCAGGTGGATATTTGGACCACTCTTTGGCCTTCGTTCGAAACGGGTACATCTTCAAATAAAATCTAGACAGAAGCCTTCTCAGAAACTTCTCTGTGACGATTGCATTCAACTCAAAGAGTTGAACCCTCCTATGGATAGAGCAGTTTTGAATCTCTCTTTTTGTGGAATCTGCAAGTGGATATGTGGTCCTCTTTGAAGATGTCTTTGGAAACGGGAATATCTTCACATAAAAACTAAACAGAAGCATTCTCAGAAACTTCTCTGTGATGTTTGTGTTCAACTCACAGAGTTTCACGTTGCTTTTCATAGAGCAGATGAGAAATATGCTTTTCGTAGGGTCTGCAAGTGGACATTTGGAGAGATTTCAGGCCTGTGGTGGAAAACGAATTATCGTCACGTAAAAACTAGAGAGAAGCATTGTCAGAAACTTGTTTGTGATGACTGCATTCAACTCACAGAGTTGAAGGTTCCTTTTCAAACAGCAGTTTCCAAACACTCTTTCTGTGGCATCTGCAAGTGGATGTTTGGGCCTCTTTGAAGATTTCGTTGGAAACGGGATAATCTTCACAGAAAAGCTAAACAGAAGCATTCTCAGAAACTTCTTTGTGATGTTTGCTTTCAACTCACAGAGTTGAACTTTCCTTTTGAGAGAGAAGCTTTGAAACACTCTTTTTCTAGAATCTGCAAGTGGATATTTGGAGGGCTTTGAGGCCTGTGGTGGAAAAGGAATTATCTTCCCGTAAGAACTAGATAGATGCATTCTCAGAAACTACTTTGTGACGATTGCATTCAAGTCACAGAGGTGAACATTCCCTTTCACAGAGCACTTTGGAAACTCTCGTTGTGTAGAATCTGCAAGTGGAGATATGGACCGCTTTGAGGCCTATGGTAGTAAAGGAAACAGCTTCATATAAAAACTAGACAGCAGCATTCTCAGAAAACTCTTTGTGACGACTGAGTTTAACTCACAGGGCTGAACATTCCTTTGGATGGAGCAGTTTGGAAACACACTATCTGTAGGATCTGCAAGCGGATACTTGGGCCTCTCTGAGGATTTCGTTGGAAACGGAATAAACCGCACAGAACTAAACAGAAGCATTCTCAGAACCTTCTTCGTGATGTTTGCATTCAACCCACAGTGTTGAACCTTTCTTTGATAGTTCAGGTTTGAAACACTCTTTTTGTAGAAACTGCAAGTGGATAACTGCACTTCTTTGAGGCCTATCGTAGTAAAGGAAATAACTTCCTATAAAAACAAGACAGAAGCTTTCTCAGAAAATTCTCTGGGATGATTGAGTTGAACTCACAGTGCAGTACTTTCCTTGGGATGGAGTAGTTTCGAAACACACTTTCTGTAGAATCTGCAAGTGGATATTTGGACCTGTCTGAGGAATTCGTTGCAAACGGGATAATTTCAGCTAAGTAAACAGAAGCAGTCTCAGAATCTTCTTGTGATGTTTGCATTCAAATCCCAGAATTGAACCTTCCTTTGAAAGTTCAGGTTGGAAACACTCTTTTTGCAGGATCTACAAGTGGATATTCGGACCACTCTGTGGACTTCGTTCGAAACGGGTATATCTTCACATAACATCTAGACAGAAGCATTCTCAGAAACTTTTCTGTGATGACTGTATTCAACTCACAGAGTTGAACACTCCTTTCGAGAGCGCAGTTTTGAAACTCTCTTTCTCTGGAATCTGCAAGGGGACATGCAGACCTCTTTGAAGGTTTCGTTGGAAACGGAATCATCTTCACATAAAAATTACACAGAAGCATTCTCAGGAACTCCTTGGTGATGTTTGTATTCAACTTCCAGAGTTGAACTTTCCTTCGGAAAGAGCAGCTATGAAACACTCTTTTTCTAGAATCTGCAAGTGGACATTGGGAGGGCTGTGAGGTTTGTGGTGGAAAAGGAAATATCTCCACGTAAATACTAGATAGAAGCCTTCTCAGAAACTACTTTGTGATGATTGCATTCACCTCACGGAGTGGAGCATTCCTATTGACAGAGCAGTTTGGAAACACTCTTCTCGTAGAATCGGCTAGTGGAGATTTGGAGCGCTTTGAGGCCTATGGTAGTAAAGGGAAGAGCTTCACATAAAATCTAGACAGAAGCATTCTCAGAAAATACTTTGTGATGATTGAGTTTAACACACAGAGCTGAACATTCCTTTGGATGGAGAAGGTTTGAAACACACTTTCTGTAGAATCTGCGAGTGGATATTTGGACCTCTCTGAGGATTTCGTTGGAAACGGGATAACTGCACCTAACTAAACGGAAGCATTCTCACAAAATTCTTTGTGATGTTTGCATTCAAATCCCAGAGTTGAACCTTCCTTTGATAGTTCAGCTTTGAAACACTCTTTTTGTAGGATCTGCAGGTGGATATTTGGACCACTCTTTGGCCTTCGTTCGAAAAGGGAACATCTTCAAATAAAATCTAGACAGAAGCCTTCTCAGAAACTTCTCTGTGACGATTGCATTCAACTCAAAGCGTTGAACCCTCCTATGGATAGAGCAGTTTTGAATCTCTCTTTTTGTGGAATCTGCAAGTGGATATGTGGTCCTCTTTGAAGATGTCTTTGGAAACGGGAATATCTTCACATAAAAACTAAACAGAAGCATTCTCAGAAACTTCTCTGTGATGTTTGTGTTCAACTCACAGAGTATCACGTTGCTTTTCATAGAGCAGATGAGAAACATGCTTTTCGTAGGGTCTGCAAGTGAACATTTGGAGAGCTTTCAGGCCTGTGGTGGAAAACGAATTATCGTCACGTTAAAAACTAGAGAGAAGCATTGTCAGAAACTTGTTTGTGATGACTGCATTCAACTCACAGAGTTGAAGGTTCCTTTTCAAACAGCAGTTTCCAAACACTCTTTCTGTGGCATCTGCAAGTGGATGTTTGGGCCTCTTTGAAGATTTCGTTGGAAACGGGATAATCTTCACAGAAAAGCTAAACAGAAGCATTCTCAGAAACTTCTTTGTGATGTTTGCTTTCAACTCACAGAGTTGAACTTTCCTTTTGAGAGAGAAGCTTTGAAACACTCTTTTTCTAGAATCTGCAAGTGGACATTGGGAGGGCTGTGAGGTTTGTGGTGGAAAAGGAAATATCTCCTCATAAATACTAGATAGAAGCCTTCTCAGAAACTACTTTGTGATGATTGCATTCACCTCACGGAGTGGAGCATTCCTATTGACAGAGCAGTTTGGAAACACTCTTGTTGTAGAATCTGCTAGTGGAGATTTGGAGCGCTTTGAGGCCTATGGTAGTAAAGGGAAGAGCTTCACATAAAATCTAGACAGAAAGCATTCTCAGAAAATACTTTGTGATGATTGAGTTTAACACACAGAGCTGAACATTCCTTTGGATGGAGAAGGTTTGAAACACACTTTCTGTAGAATCTGCGAGTGGATATTTGGACCTCTCTGAGGATTTCGTTGGAAACGGGATAACTGCACCTAACTAAACGGAAGCATTCTCACAAAATTCTTCGTGATGTTTGCATTCAAATCCCAGAGTTGAACCTTCCTTTGATAGTTCAGCTTTGAAACACTCTTTTTGTAGGATCTGCAGGTGGATATTTGGACCACTCTTTGGCCTTCGTTCGAAAAGGGTACATCTTCAAATAAAATCTAGACAGAAGCCATCTCAGAAACTTCTCTGTGACGATTGCATTCAACTCAAAGCGTTGAACCCTCCTATGGATAGAGCAGTTTTGAATCTCTCTTTTTGTGGAATCTGCAAGTGGATATGTGGTCCTCTTTGAAGATGTCTTTGGAAACGGGAATATCTTCACATTAAAACTAAACAGAAGCATTCTCAGAAACTTCTCTGTGATGTTTGTGTTCAACTCACAGAGCTTCACGTTGCTTTTCATAGAGCAGATGAGAAACATGCTTTTCGTAGGGTCTGCAAGTGGACATTTGGAGAGCTTTCAGGCCTGTGGTGGAAAACGAATTATCGTCACGTAAAAACTAGAGAGAAGCATTGTCAGAAACTTGTTTGTGATGATTGCATTCAACTCACAGAGTTGAAGGTTCCCTTTCAAACAGCAGTTTCCAAACACACTTTCTGTGGAATCTGCAATTGGATAGTTGGACCTCTTTGAAGATGTCTTTGGAAACGGGATAATCTTCACAGAAAAGCTAAACAGAAGCATTGTCAGAAACTTCTTTGTGATGTTTGCATTCTACTCACAGAGTTGAACTTTCCTTTTGAGAGAGAAGCTTTGAAACACTCTTTCTCTAGAATCTGCAAGTGGATATTTGGAGGGCTTTGAGGCCTGTGGTGGAAAAGGAATTAACTTCCCGTAAAAACTAGATAGATGCATTTTCAGAAACTACTTTGTGACGATTGCATTCAAGTCACAGAGGTGAACATTCCCTTTCAGAGAGCACTTTGGAAACTCTCGTTGTGTAGAATCTGCAAGTGGAGATATGGACCGCTTTGAGGCCTATGGTAGTAAAGGAAACAGCTTCATATAAAAACTAGACAGCAGCATTCTCAGAAAACTCTTTGTGACGACTGAGTTTAACTCACAGGGCTGAACATTCCTTTGGATGGAGCAGTTTGGAAACACACTATCTGTAGGATCTGCAAGCGGATACTTGGGTCTCTCTGAGAATTTCGTTGGAAACGGGATAAACCGCACAGAACTAAACAGAAGCATTCTCAGAACCTTCTTCGTGATGTTTGCATTCAACCCACAGTGTTGAACCTTTCTTTGATAGTTAACGTTTGAAACACTCTTTTTGTAGAAACTGCAAGTGGATAACTGCACTTCTTTGAGGCCTATCGTAGTAAAGGAAATAACTTCCTATAAAAACAAGACAGAAGCTTTCTCAGAAAATTCTCTGGGATGATTGAGTTGAACTCACAGAGCAGTACTTTCCTTGGGATGGAGTAGTTTCGAAACACACTTTCTGTAGAATCTGCAAGTGGATATTTGGACCTGTCTGAGGAATTCTTTGCAAACGGGATAATTTCAGCTAAGTAAACAGAAGCAGTCTCAGAATCTTCTTGTGATGTTTGCATTCAAATCCCAGAATTGAACCTTCCTTTGAAAGTTCAGGTTGGAAACACTCTTTTTGCAGGATCTACAAGTGGATATTCGGACCACTCTGTGGACTTCATTCGAAACGGCTATATCTTCACATAACATCTAGACAGAAGCATTCTCAGAAACTTTTCTGTGATGACTGCATTCAACTCACAGAGTTGAACACTCCTTTTGAGAGCGCAGTTTTGAAACTCCCTTTCTCTGGAATCTGCAAGGGGACATGCAGACCTCTTCGAAGGTTTCGTTGGAAACGGAATCATCTTCACATAAAAATTACACAGAAGCATCCTCAGGAACTCCTTGGTGATGTTTGTATTCAACTTCCAGAGTTGAACTTTCCTTCGGAAAGAGCAGCTATGAAACACTCTTTTTCTAGAATCTGCAAGTGGACATTGGGAGGGCTGTGAGGTTTGTGGTGGAAAAGGAAATATCTCCACATAAATACTAGATAGAAGCCTTCTCAGAAACTCCTTTGTGATGATTGCATTCACCTCACGGAGTGGAGCATTCCTATTGACAGAACAGTTTGGAAACACTCTTGTTGTAGAATCTCCTAGTGGAGATTTGGAGCGCTTTGAGGCCTATGGTAGTAAAGGGAAGAGCTTCACATAAAATCTAGACAGAAGCATTCTCAGAAAATACTTTGTGATGATTGAGTTTAACACACAGAGCTGAACATTCCTTTGGATGGAGAAGGTTTGAAACACACTTTCTGTAGAATCTGCGAGTGGATATTTGGACCTCTCTGAGGATTTCGTTGGAAACGGGATAACTGCACCTAAATAAACGGAAGCATTCTCACAAAATTCTTTGTGATGTTTGCATTCAAATCCCAGAGTTGACCCTTCCTTTGATAGTTCAGCTTTGAAACACTCTTTTTGTAGGATCTGAAAGTGGATATTTGGACCACTCTTTGGCCTTCGTTCGAAACGGGTACATCTTCAAATAAAATCTAGACAGAAGCCTTCTCAGAAACTTCTCTGTGACGATTGCATTCAACTCAAAGAGTTGAACCCTCCTATGGATAGAGCAGTTTTGAATCTCTCTTTTTGTGGAATCTGCAAGTGGATATGTGGTCCTCTTTGAAGATGTCTTTGGAAACGGGAATATCTTCACATAAAAACTAAACAGAAGCATTCTCAGAAACTTCTCTGTGATGTTTGTGTTCAACTCACAGAGTTTCACGTTGCTTTTCATAGAGCAGATGAGAAACATGCTTTTCGTAGGGTCTGCAAGTGGACATTTGGAGAGATTTCCGGCCTGTGGTGGAAAACGAATTATCGTCACGTAAAAACTAGAGAGAAGCATTGTCAGAAACTTGTTTGTGATGACTGCATTCAACTCACAGAGTTGAAGGTTCCTTTTCAAACAGCAGTTTCCAAACACTCTTTCTGTGGCATCTGCAAGTGGATGTTTGGGCCTCTTTGAAGATTTCGTTGGAAACGGGATAATCTTCACAGAAAAGCTAAACAGAAGCATTCTCAGAAACTTCTTTGTGATGTTTGCTTTCAACTCACAGAGTTGAACTTTCCTTTTGAGAGAGAAGCTTTGAAACACTCTTTTTCTAGAATCTGCAAGTGGATATTTGCAGGGCTTTGAGGCCTGTGGTGGAAAAGGAATTATCTTCCCGTAAGAACTAGATAGATGCATTCTCAGAAACTACTTTGTGACGATTGCATTCAAGTCACGGAGGTGAACATTCCCTTTCAGAGAGCACTTTGGAAACTCTCGTTGTGTAGAATCTGCAAGTGGAGATATGGACCGCTTTGAGGCCTATGGTAGTAAAGGAAACAACTTCATATAAAAACTAGACAGCAGCATTCTCAGAAAACTCTTTGTGACGACTGAGTTTAACTCACAGGGCTGAACATTCCTTTGGATGGAGCAGTTTGGAAACACACTATCTGTAGGATCTGCAAGCGGATACTTGGGCCTCCCTGAGGATTTCGTTGGAAACGGGATAAACTGCACAGAACTAAACAGAAGCATTCTCAGAACCTTCTTCGTGATGTTTGCATTCAACCCACAGTGTTGAACCTTTCTTTGATAGTTCAGGTTTGAAACACTCTTTTTGTAGAAACTGCAAGTGGATAACTGCACTTCTTTGAGGCCTATCGTAGTAAAGGAAATAACTTCCTATAAAAACAAGACAGAAGCTTTCTCAGAAAATTCTCTGGGATGATTGAGTTGAACTCACAGGGCAGTACTTTCCTTGGGATGGAGTAGTTTCGAAACACACTTTCTGTAGAATCTGCAAGTGGATATTTGGACCTGTCTGAGGAATTCGTTGCAAACGGGATAATTTCAGCTAAGTAAACAGAAGCAGTCTCAGAATCTTCTTGTGATGTTTGCATTCAAATCCCAGAATTGAATCTTCCTTTGAAAGTTCAGGTTGGAAACACTCTTTTTGCAGGATCTACAAGTGGATATTCGGACCACTCTGTGGACTTCATTCGAAACGGGTATATCTTCACATAACATCTAGACAGAAGCATTCTCAGAAACTTTTCTGTGATGACTGCATTCAACTCACAGAGTTGAACACTCCTTTCGAGAGCGCAGTTTTGAAACTCTCTTTCTCTGGAATCTGCAAGGGGACATGCAGACCTCTTTGAAGGTTTCGTTGGAAACGGAATCATCTTCACATAAAAATTACACAGAGGCATCCTCAGGAACTCCTTGGTGATGTTTGTATTCAACTTCCAGAGTTGAACTTTCCTTCGGAAAGAGCAGCTATGAAACACTCTTTTTCTAGAATCTGCAAGTGGACATTGGGAGGGCTGTGAGGTTTGTGGTGGAAAAGGAAATATCTCCACATAAATACTAGATAGAAGCCTTCTCAGAAACTACTTTGTGATGATTGCATTCACCTCACGGAGTGGAGCATTCCTATTGACAGAGCAGTTTGGAAACACTCTTCTCGTAGAATCGGCTAGTGGAGATTTGGAGCGCTTTGAGGCCTATGGTAGTAAAGGGAAGAGCTTCACATACAATCTAGACAGAAGCATTCTCAGAAAATACTTTGTGATGATTGAGTTTAACACACAGAGCTGCACATTCCTTTGGATGGAGAAGGTTTGAAACACACTTTCTGTAGAATCTGCGAGTGGATATTTGGACCTCTCTGAGGATTTCGTTGGAAACGGGATAACTGCACCTAACTAAACGGAAGCATTCTCACAAAATTCTTTGTGATGATTGCATTCAAATCCCAGAGTTGAACCTTCCTTTGATAGTTCATCTTTGAATCACTCTTTTTGTAGGATCTGCAAGTGGATATTTGGACCACTCTTTGGCCTTCGTTCGTAAAGGGTACATCTTCAAATAAAATCTAGACAGAAGCCTTCTCAGAAACTTCTCTGTGACGATTGCATTCAACTCAGAGAGTTGAACCCTCCTATGGATGGAGCAGTTTTGAATCTCTCTTTTTGTGGAATCTGCAAGTGGATATGTGGTCCTCTTTGAAGATGTCTTTGGAAACGGGAATATCTTCACATAAAAACTAAACAGAAGCATTCTCAGAAACTTCTCTGTGATGTTTGTGTTCAACTCACAGAGCTTCACGTTGCTTTTCATAGAGCAGATGAGAAACATGCTTTTCATAGGGTCTGCAAGTGGACATTTGGAGAGCTTTCAGGCCTGTGGTGGAAAACGAATTATCGTCACGTAAAAACTAGAGAGAAGCATTGTCAGAAACTTGTTTGTGATGACTGCATTCAACTCACAGAGTTGAAGGTTCCTTTTCAAACAGCAGTTTCCAAACACTCTTTCTGTGGCATCTGCAAGTGGATGTTTGGGCCTCTTTGAAGATTTCGTTGGAAACGGGATAATCTTCACAGAAAAGCTAAACAGAAGCATTCTCAGAAACTTCTTTGTGATGTTTGCTTTCAACTCACAGAGTTGAACTTTCCTTTTGAGAGAGAAGCTTTGAAACACTCTTTTTCTAGAATCTGCAAGTGAATATTTGGAGGGCTTTGAGGCCTGAGGTGGAAAAGGAATTATCTTCCCGTAAGAACTAGATAGATGCATTCTCAGAAACTACTTTGTGACGATTGCATTCAAGTCACAGAGGTGAACATTCCCTTTCAGAGAGCACTTTGGAAACTCTCGTTGTGTAGAATCTGCAAGTGGAGATATGGACCGCTTTGAGGCCTATGGTAGTAAAGGAAACAGCTTCATATAAAAACTAGACAGCAGCATTCTCAGAAAACTCTTTGTGACGACTGAGTTTAACTCACAGGGCTGAACATTCCTTTGGATGGAGCAGTTTGGAAACACACTATCTGTAGGATCTGCAAGCGGATACTTGGGCCTCTCTGAGGATTTCGTTGGAAACGGAATAAACCGCACAGAACTAAACAGAAGCATTCTCAGAACCTTCTTCGTGATGTTTGCATTCAACCCACAGTGTTGAACCTTTCTTTGATAGTTCAGGTTTGAAACACTCTTTTTGTAGAAACTGCAAGTGGATAACTGCACTTCTTTGAGGCCTATCGTAATAAAGGAAATAACTTCCTATAAAAACAAGACAGAAGCTTTCTCAGAAAATTCTCTGGGATGATTGAGTTGAACTCACAGAGCAGTACTTTCCTTGGGATGGAGTAGTTTCGAAACACACTTTCTGTAGAATCTGCAAGTGGATATTTGGACCTGTCTGAGGAATTCGTTGCAAACGGGATAATTTCAGCTAAGTAAACAGAAGCAGTCTCAGAATCTTCTTGTGATGTTTGCATTCAAATCCCAGAATTGAACCTTCCTTTGAAAGTTCAGGTTTGAAACACTCTTTTTGCAGGATCTACAAGTGGATATTCGGACCACTCTGTGGACTTCGTTCGAAACGGGTATATCTTCACATAACATCTAGACAGAAGCATTCTCAGAAACTTTTCTGTGATGACTGCATTCAACTCACAGAGTTGAACACTCCTTTTGAGAGCACAGTTTTGAAACTCTCTTTCTCTGGAATCTGCAAGGGGACATGCAGACCTCTTTGAAGGTTTCGTTGGAAACGGAATCATCTTCACATAAAAATTACACAGAGGCATCCTCAGGAACTCCTTGGTGATGTTTGTATTCAACTTCCAGAGTTGAACTTTCCTTCGGAAAGAGCAGCTATGAAACACTCTTTTTCTAGAATCTGCAAGTGGACATTGGGAGGGCTGTGAGGTTTGTGGTGGAAAAGGAAATATCTCCACATAAATACTAGATAGAAGCCTTCTCAGAAACTACTTTGTGATGATTGCATTCACCTCACGGAGTGGAGCATTCCTATTGACAGAGCAGTTTGGAAACACTCTTCTCGTAGAATCGGCTAGTGGAGATTTGGAGCGCTTTGAGGCCTATGGTAGTAAAGGGAAGAGCTTCACATAAAATCTAGACAGAAGCATTCTCAGAAAACACTTTGTGATGATTGAGTTTAACACACAGAGCTGAACATTCCTTTGGATGGAGAAGGTTTGAAACACACTTTCTGTAGAATCTGCGAGTGGATATTTGGACGTCTCTGAGGATTTCGTTGGAAACGGGATAACTGCACCTAACTAAACGGAAGCGTTCTCACAAAATTCTTTGTGATGTTTGCATTCAAATCCCAGAGTTGAACCTTCCTTTGATAGTTCAGCTTTGAAACACTCTTTTTGTAGGATCTGCAGGTGGATATTTGGACCACTCTTTGGCCTTCGTTCGAAACGGGTACATCTTCAAATAAAATCTAGACAGAAGCCTTCTCAGAAACTTCTCTGTGACGATTGCATTCAACCCAAAGAGTTGAACCCTCCTATGGATAGAGCAGTTTTGAATCTCTCTTTTTGTGGAATCTGCAAGTGGATATGTGGTCCTCTTTGAAGATGTCTTTGGAAACGGGAATATCTTCACATAAAAACTAAACAGAAGCATTCTCAGAAACTTCTCTGTGATGTTTGTGTTCAACTCACAGAGTTTCACGTTGCTTTTCATAGAGCAGATGAGAAACATGCTTCTCGTAGGGTCTGCAAGTGGACATTTGGAGAGATTTCAGGCCTGTGGTGGAAAACGAATTATCGTCACGTAAAAACGAGAGAGAAGCATTGTCAGAAACTTGTTTGTGATGACTGCATTCCACTCACAGAGTTGAAGGTTCCTTTCCAAACAGCAGTTTCCAAACACTCTTTCTGTGGCATCTGCAAGTGGATGTTTGGGCCTCTTTGAAGATTTCGTTGGAAACGGGATAATCTTCACAGAAAAGCTAAACAGAAGCATGCTCAGAAACTTCTTTGTGATGTTTGCTTTCAACTCACAGAGTTGAACTTTCCTTTTGAGAGAGAAGCTTTGAAACACTCTTTTTCTAGAATCTGCAAGTGGATATTTGGAGGGCTTTGAGGCCTGAGGTGGAACAGGAATTATCTTCCCGTAAGAACTAGATAGATGCATTCTCAGAAACTACTTTGTGACGATTGCATTCAAGTCACAGAGGTGAACATTCCCTTTCAGAGAGCACTTTGGAAACTCTCGTTGTGTAGAATCTGCAAGTGGAGATATGGACCGCTTTGAGGCCTATGGTAGTAAAGGAAACAGCTTCATATAAAAACTAGACAGCAGCATTCTCAGAAAACTCTTTGTGACGACTGAGTTTAACTCACAGGGCTGAACATTCCTTTGGATGGAGCAGTTTGGAAACACACTATCTGTAGGATCTGCAAGCGGATACTTGGGCCTCTCTGAGGATTTCGTTGGAAACGGGATAAACCGCACAGAACTAAACAGAAGCATTCTCAGAACCTTCTTCGTGATGTTTGCATTCAACCCACAGTGTTGAACCTTTCTTTGATAGTTCAGGTTTGAAACACTCTTTTTGTAGAAACTGCAAGTGGATAACTGCACTTCTTTGAGGCCTATCGTAGTAAAGGAAATAACTTCCTATAAAAACAAGACAGAAGCTTTCTCAGAAAATTCTCTGCGATGATTGAGTTGAACTCACAGAGCAGTACTTTCGTTGGGATGGAGTAGTTTCGAAACACACTTTCTGTAGAATCTGCAAGTGGATATTTGGACCTGTCTGAGGAATTCGTTGCAAACGGGATAATTTCAGCTAAGTAAACAGAATCAGTCTCAGAATCTTCTTGTGATGTTTGCATTCAAATCCCAGAATTGAACCTTCCTTTGAAAGTTCAGGTTGGAAACACTCTTTTTGCAGGATCTACAAGTGGATATTCGGACCACTCTGTGGACTTCGTTCGAAACGGGTATATCTTCACATAACATCTAGACAGAAGCATTCTCAGAAACTTTTCTGTGATGACTGCATTCAACTCACAGAGTTGAACACTCCTTTTGAGAGCGCAGTTTTGCAACTCTCTTTCTCTGGAATCTGCAAGGGGACATGCAGACCTCTTTGAAGGTTTCGTTGGAAACGGAATCATCTTCACATAAAAATTACACGGAAGCATCCTCAGGAACTCCTTGGTGATGTTTTTATTCAACTTCCAGAGTTGAACTTTCCTTCGGAAAGAGCAGCTATGAAACACTCTTTTTCTAGAATCTGCAAGTGGACATTGGGAGGGCTGTGAGGTTTGTGGTGGAAAAGGAAATATCTCCACATAAATACTAGATAGAAGCCTTCTCAGAAAACTACTTTGTGATGATTGCATTCACCTCACGGGAGTGGAGCATTCCTATTGACAGAGCAGTTTGGAAACACTCTTCTTGTAGAATCGGCTAGTGGAGATTTGGAGCGCTTTGAGGCCTATGGTAGTAAAGGGAAGAGCTTCACATAAAATCTAGACAGAAGCATTCTCAGAAAATACTTTGTGATGATTGAGTTTAACACACAGAGCTGAACATTCCTTTGGATGGAGAAGGTTTGAAACACACTTTCTGTAGAATCTGCGAGTGGATATTTGGACCTCTCTGAGGATTTCGTTGGAAACGGGATAACTGCACCTAACTAAACGGAAGCATTCTCACAAAATTCTTTGTGATGTTTGCATTCAAATCCCAGAGTTGAACCTTCCTTTGATAGTTCAGCTTTGAAACACTCTTTTTGTAGGTTCTGCAGGTGGATATTTGGACCACTCTTTGGCCTTCGTTCGAAACGGGTACATCTTCAAATAAAATCTAGACAGAAGCCTTCTCAGAAACTTCTCTGTGACGATTGCATTCAACTCACAGCGTTGCACCCTCCTATGGATAGAGCAGTTTTGAATCTCTCTTTTTGTGGAATCTGCAAGTGGATATGTGGTCCTCTTTGAAGATGTCTTTGGAAACGGGAATATCTTCAAATAAAAACTAAACAGAAGCATTCTCAGAAACTTCTCTGTGATGTTTGTGTTCAACTCACAGAGTTTCACGTTGCTTTTCATACAGCAGATGAGAAACATGCTTTTCGTAGGGTCTGCAAGTGGACATTTGGAGAGATTTCAGGCCTGTGGTGGAAAACGAATTATCGTCACGTAAAAACTAGAGAGAAGCATTGTCAGAAACTTGTTTGTGATGATTGCATTCAACTCACAGAGTTGAAGGTTCCCTTTCAAACAGCAGTTTCCAAACACACTTTCTGTGGAATCTGCAATTGGATAGTTGGACCTCTTTGAAGATGTCTTTGGAAACGGGATAATCTTCACAGAAAAGCTAAACAGAAGCATTGTCAGAAACTTCTTTGTGATGTTTGCATTCTACTCACAGAGTTGAACTTTCCTTTTGAGAGAGAAGCTTTGAAACACTCTTTCTCTAGAATCTGCAAGTGGATATTTGGAGGGCTTTGAGGCCTGTGGTGGAAAAGGAATTAACTTCCCGTAAAAACTAGATAGATGCATTCTCAGAAACTACTTTGTGACGATTGCATTCAAGTCACAGAGGTGAACATTCCCTTTCAGAGAGCACTTTGGAAACTCTCGTTGTGTAGAATCTGCAAGTGGAGATATGGACCGCTTAGAGGCCTATGCTAGTAAAGGAAACAGCTTCATATAAAAACTAGACAGCAGCATTCTCAGAAAACTCTTTGTGACGACTGAGTTTAACTCACAGGGCTGAACATTCCTTTGGATGGAGCAGTTTGGAAACACACTATCTGTAGGATCTGCAAGCGGATACTTGGGCCTCCCTGAGGATTTCGTTGGAAACGGGATAAACTGCACAGAACTAAACAGAAGCATTCTCAGAACCTTCTTCGTGATGTTTGCATTCAACCCACAGTGTTGAACCTTTCTTTGATAGTTCAGGTTTGAAACACTCTTTTTGTAGAAACTGCAAGTGGATAACTGCACTTCTTTGAGGCCTATCGTAGTAAAGGAAATAACTTCCTATAAAAACAAGACAGAAGCTTTCTCAGAAAATTCTCTGGGATGATTGAGTTGAACTCACAGAGCAGTACTTTCCTTGGGATGGAGTAGTTTCGAAACACACTTTCTGTAGAATCTGCAAGTGGATATTTGGACCTGTCTGAGGAATTCGTTGCAAACGGGATAATTTCAGCTAAGTAAACAGAAGCAGTCTCAGAATCTTCTTGTGATGTTTGCATTCAAATCCCAGAATGAAACCTTCCTTTGAAAGTTCAGGTTGGAAACACTCTTTTTGCAGGATCTACAAGTGGATATTCGGACCACTCTGTGGACTTCGTTCGAAACGGGTATATCTTCACATAACATCTAGACAGAAGCATTCTCAGTAAACTTTTCTGTGATGACTGCATTCAACTCACAGAGTTGAACACTCCTTTTGAGAGCGCAGTTTTGAAACTCTCTTTCTCTGGAATCTGCAAGGGGACATGCAGACCTCTTTGAAGGTTTCGTTGGAAACGGAATCATCTTCACATAAAAATTACACGGAAGCCTCCTCAGGAACTCCTTGGTGATGTTTGTATTCAACTTCCAGAGTTGAACTTTCCTTCGGAAAGAGCAGCTATGAAACACTCTTTTTCTAGAATCTGCAAGTGGACATTGGGAGGGCTGTGAGGTTTGTGGTGGAAAAGGAAATATCTCCACATAAATACTAGATAGAACCCTTCTCAGAAACTACTTTGTGATGATTGCATTCACCTCACGGAGTGGAGCATTCCTATTGACAGAGCAGGTTGGAAACACTCTTGTTGTAGAATCTGCTAGTGGAGATTTGGAGCGCTTTGAGGCCTATGGTAGTAAAGGGAAGAGCTTCACATAAAATCTAGACAGAAGCATTCTCAGAAAATACTTTGTGATGATTGAGTTTAACACACAGAGCT
This sequence comes from Homo sapiens, assembly GCF_000001405.40. Taxonomy (NCBI): domain Eukaryota; kingdom Metazoa; phylum Chordata; class Mammalia; order Primates; family Hominidae; genus Homo; species Homo sapiens. The sequence continues at coordinate 23,147,380 of NC_000017.11, forward strand.
GAACATTCCTTTGGATGGAGAAGGTTTGAAACACACTTTCTGTAGAATCTGCGAGTGGATATTTGGACCTCTCTGAGGTTTTCGTTGGAAACGGGATAACTGCACCTAACTAAACGGAAGCATTCTCACAAAATTCTTCGTGATGTTTGCATTCAAATCCCAGAGTTGAACCTTCCTTTGATAGTTCAGCTTTGAAACACTCTTTTTGTAGGATCTGCAAGTGGATATTTGGACCACACTTTGGCCTTCCTTCGAAACGGGTACATCTTCATATAAAATCTAGACAGAAGCCTTCTCAGAAACTTCTCTGTGACGATTGCATTCAACTCAAAGAGTTGAACCCTCCTATGGATAGAGCAGTTTTTAATCTCTCTTTTTGTGGAATCTGCAAGTGGATATGTGGTCCTCTTTGAAGATGTCTTTGGAAACGGGAATATCTTCACATAAAAACTAAACAGAAGCATTCTCAGAAACTTCTCTGTGATGTTTGTGTTCAACTCACAGAGTATCACGTTGCTTTTCATAGAGCAGATGAGAAACATGCTTTTCGTTGGGTCTGCAAGTGGACATTTGGAGAGCTTTCAGGCCTGTGGTGGAAAACGAATTATCGTCACGTTAAAAACTAGAGAGAAGCATTGTCAGAAACTTGTTTGTGATGACTGCATTCAACTCACAGAGTTGAAGGTTCCTTTTCAAACAGCAGTTTCCAAACACTCTTTCTGTGGCATCTGCAAGTGGATGTTTGGGCCTCTTTGAAGATTTCGTTGGAAACGGGATAATCTTCACAGAAAAGCTAAACAGAAGCATTCTCAGAAACTTCTTTGTGATGTTTGCTTTCAACTCACAGAGTTGAACTTTCCTTTTGAGAGAGAAGCTTTGAAACACTCTTTTTCTAGAATCTGCAAGTGGATATTTGGAGGGCTTTGAGGCCTGAGGTGGAAAAGGAATTATCTTCCCGTAAGAACTAGATAGATGCATTCTCAGAAACTACTTTGTGACGATTGCATTCAAGTCACAGAGGTGAACATTCCCTTTCACAGAGCACTTTGGAAACTCTCGTTGTGTAGAATCTGCAAGTGGAGATATGGACCGCTTTGAGGCCTATGGTAGTAAAGGAAACAGCTTCATATAAAAACTAGACAGCAGCATTCTCAGAAAACTCTTTGTGACGACTGAGTTTAACTCACAGGGCTGAACATTCCTTTGGATGGAGCAGTTTGGAAACACACTATCTGTAGGATCTGCAAGCGGATACTTGGGCCCCTCTGAGGATTTCGTTGGAAACGGGATAAACCGCACAGAACTAAACAGAAGCATTCTCAGAACCTTCTTCGTGATGTTTGCATTCAACCCACAGTGTTGAACCTTTCTTTGATAGTTCAGGTTTGAAACACTCTTTTTGTAGAAACTGCAAGTGGATAACTGCACTTCTTTGAGGCCTATCGTAGTAAAGGAAATAACTTCCTATAAAAACAAGACAGAAGCTTTCTCAGAAAATTCTCTGGGATGATTGAGTTGAACTCACAGAGCAGTACTTTCTTTGGGATGGAGTAGTTTCGAAACACACTTTCTGTACAATCTGCAAGTGGATATTTGGACCTGTCTGAGGAATTCGTTGCAAACGGGATAATTTCAGCTAATTAACAGAAGCAGTCTCAGAATCTTCTTGTGATGTTTGCATTCAAATCCCAGAATTGAACATTCCTTTGAAAGTTCAGGTTGGAAACACTCTTTTTGCAGGATCTACAAGTGGATATTCGGACCACTCTGTGGACTTCGTTCGAAACGGGTATATCTTCACATAACATCTAGACAGAAGCATTCTCAGAAACTTTTCTGTGATGACTGCATTCAACTCACAGAGTTGAACACTCCTTTTGAGAGCGCAGTTTTGAAACTCTCTTTCTCTGGAATCTGCAAGGGGACATGCAGACCTCTTTGAAGGTTTCGTTGGAAACGGAATCATCTTCACATAAAAATTACACGGAAGCATCCTCAGGAACTCCTTGGTGATGTTTGTATTCAACTTCCAGAGTTGAACTTTCCTTCGGAACGAGCAGCTATGAAACACTCTTTTTCTAGAATCTGCAAGTGGACATTGGGAGGGCTGTGAGGTTTGTGGTGGAAAAGGAAATATCTCCACATAAATACTAGATAGAAGCCTTCTCAGAAACTACTTTGTGATGATTGCATTCACCTCACGGAGTGGAGCATTCCTATTGACAGAGCAGTTTGGAAACACCCTTGTTGTAGAATCTGCTAGTGGAGATTTGGAGCGCTTTGAGGCCTATGGTAGTAAAGGGAAGAGCTTCACATAAAATGTAGACAGAAGCATTCTCAGAAAATACTTTGTGATGATTGAGTTTAACACACAGAGCTGAACATTCCTTTGGATGGAGAAGGTTTGAAACACACTTTCTGTAGAATCTGCGAGTGGATATTTGGACCTCTCTGAGGATTTCGTTGGAAACGGGATAACTGCACCTAACTAAACGGAAGCATTCTCACAAAATTCTTTGTGATGTTTGCATTCAAATCCCAGAGTTGAACCTTCCTTTGATAGTTCAGCTTTGAAACACTCTTTTTGTAGGATCTGCAGGTGGATATTTGGACCACTCTTTGGCCTTCGTTCGAAACGGGTACATCTTCAAATAAAATCTAGACAGAAGCCTTCTCAGAAACTTCTCTGTGACGATTGCATTCAACTCAAAGCGTTGAACCCTCCTATGGATAGAGCAGTTTTGAATCTCTCTTTTTGTGGAATCTGCAAGTGGATATGTGGTCCTCTTTGAAGGTGTCTTTGGAAACGGGAATATCTTCACATAAAAACTAAACAGAAGCATTCTCAGAAACTTCTCTGTGATGTTTGTGTTCAACTCACAGAGTTTCACGTTGCTTTTCATAGAGCAGATGAGAAACATGCTTTTCGTAGGGTCTGCAAGTGGACATTTGGAGAGCTTTCAGGCCTGTGGTGGAAAACGAATTATCGTCACGTAAAAACTAGAGAGAAGCATTGTCAGAAACTTGTTTGTGATGACTGCATTCAACTCACAGAGTTGAAGGTTCCTTTCCAAACAGCAGTTTCCAAACACTCTTTCTGTGGCATCTGCAAGTGGATGTTTGGGCCTCTTTGAAGATTTCGTTGGAAACGGGATACTCTTCACAGAAAAGCTAAACAGAAGCATTCTCAGAAACTTCTTTGTGATGTTTGCTTTCAACTCACAGAGTTGAACTTTCCTTTTGAGAGAGAAGCTTTGAAACACTCTTTTTCTAGAATCTGCAAGTGGATATTTGGAGGGCTTTGAGGCCTGTGGTGGAAAACGAATTATCTTCCCGTAAGAACTAGATAGATGCATTCTCAGAAACTACTTTGTGACGATTGCATTCAAGTCACAGAGGTGAACATTCCCTTTCAGAGAGCACTTTGGAAACTCTCGTTGTGTAGAATCTGCAAGTGGAGATATGGACCGCTTTGAGGCCTATGGTAGTAAAGGAAACAGCTTCATATAAAAACTAGACAGCAGCATTCTCAGAAAACTCTTTGTGACGACTGAGTTTAACTCACAGGGCTGAACATTCCTTTGGATGGAGCAGTTTGGAAACACACTATCTGTAGGATCTGCAAGCGGATTCTTGGGCCTCCCTGAGGATTTCGTTGGAAACGGGATAAACCGCACAGAACTAAACAGAAGCATTCTCAGAACCTTCTTCGTGATGTTTGCATTCAACCCACAGTGTTGAACCTTTCTTTGATAGTTCAGGTTTGAAACACTCTTTTTGTAGAAACTGCAAGTGGATAACTGCACTTCTTTGAGGCCTATCGTAGTAAAGGAAATAACTTCCTATAAAAACAAGACAGAAGCTTTCTCAGAAAATTCTCTGGGATGATTGAGTTGAACTCACAGAGCAGTACTTTCCTTGGGATGGAGTAGTTTCGAAACACACTTTCTGTAGAATCTGCAAGTGGGTATTTGGACCTGTCTGAGGAATTCGTTGCAAACGGGATAATTTCAGCTAAGTAAACAGAAGAGCAGTCTCAGAATCTTCTTGTGATGTTTGCATTCAAATCCCAGAATTGAACCTTCCTTTGAAAGTTCAGGTTGGAAACACTCTTTTTGCAGGATCTACAAGTGGATATTCGGACCACTCTGTGGACTTCGTTCGAAACGGGTATATCTTCACATAACATCTAGACAGAAGCATTCTCAGAAACTTTTCTGTGATGACTGCATTCAACTCACAGAGTGGAACACTCCTTTTGAGAGCGCAGTTTGGAAACTCTCTTTCTCTGGAATCTGCAAGGGGACATGCAGACCTCTTTGAAGGTTTCGTTGGAAACGGAATCATCTTCACATAAAAATTACACAGAAGCATTCTCAGGAACTCCTTGGTGATGTTTGTATTCAATTTCCAGAGTTGAACTTTCCTTCGGAAAGAGCAGCTATGAAACACTCCTTTTATAGAATCTGCAAGTGGACATTGGGAGGGCTGTGAGGTTTGTGGTGGAAAAGAAATATCTCCACGTAAATACTAGATAGAAGCCTTCTCAGAAACTACTTTGTGATGATTGCATTCACCTCACGGAGTGGAGCATTCCTATTGACAGAGCAGTTTGGAAACACTCTTGTTGTAGAATCTGCTAGTGGAGATTTGGTGCGCTTTGAGGCCTATGGTAGTAAAGGGAAGAGCTTCACATAAAATCTAGACAGAAGCATTCTCAGAAAATACTTTGTGATGATTGAGTTTAACACACAGAGCTGAACATTCCTTTGGATGGAGCAGGTTTGAAACACACTTTCTGTAGAATCTGCGAGTGGATATTTGGACCTCTCTGAGGATTTCGTTGGAAACGGGATTACTGCACCTAACTAAACGGAAGCATTCTCACAAAATTCTTTGTGATGTTTGCATTCAAATCCCAGAGTTGAACCTTCCTTTGATAGTTCAGCTTTGAAACACTCTTTTTGTAGGATCTGCAGGTGGATATTTGGACCACTCTTTGGCCTTCGTTCGAAACGGGTACATCTTCAAATAAAATCTAGACAGAAGCCTTCTCAGAAACTTCTCTGTGATGATTGCATTCAACTCAAAGTGTTGAACCCTCCTATGGATAGAGCAGTTTTGAATCTCTCTTTTTGTGGAATCTGCAAGTGGATATGTGGTCCTCTTTGAAGATGTCTTTGGAAACGGGAATATCTTCACATAAAAACTAAACAGAAGCATTCTCAGAAACTTCTCTGTGATGTTTGTGTTCAAATCACAGAGTTTCACGTTGCTTTTCATAGAGCAGATGAGAAACATGCTTTTCGTAGGGTCTGCAAGTGGACATTTGGAGAGATTTCAAGCCTGTGGTGGAAAACGAATTATCGTCACGTAAAAACTAGAGGGAAGCATTGTCAGAAACTTGTTTGTGATGACTGCATTCAACTCACAGAGTTGAAGGTTCCTTTTCAAACAGCAGTTTCCAAACACTCTTTCTGTGGCATCTGCAAGTGGATGTTTGGGCCTCTTTGAAGATTTCGTTGGAAAAGGGATAATCTTCACAGAAAAGCTAAACAGAAGCATTCTCAGAAACTTCTTTGTGATGTTTGCTTTCAACTCACAGAGTTGAACTTTCCTTTTGAGAGAGAAGCTTTGAAACACTCTTTTTCTAGAATCTGCAAGTGGATATTTGGAGGGCTTTGAGGCCTGTGGTGGAAAAGGAATTATCTTCCCGTAAGAACTAGATAGATGCATTCTCAGAAACTACTTTGTGACGATTGCATTCAAGTCACAGAGGTGAACATTCCCTTTCAGAGAGCACTTTGGAAACTCTCGTTGTGTAGAATCTGCAAGTGGAGATATGGACCGCTTTGAGGCCTATGGTAGTAAAGGAAACAGCTTCATATAAAAACTAGACAGCAGCATTCTCAGAAAACTCTTTGTGACGACTGAGTTAAACTCACAGGGCTGAACATTCCTTTGGATGGAGCAGTTTGGAAACACACTATCTGTAGGATCTGCAAGCGGATACTTGGGCCTCCCTGAGGATTTCGTGGGAAACGGGATAAACCGCACAGAACTAAACAGAAGCATTCTCAGAACCTTCTTCGTGATGTTTGCATTCAACCCACAGTGTTGAACCTTTCTTTGATAGTTCAGGTTTGAAACACTCTTTTAGTAGAAACTGCAAGTGGATAACTGCACTTCTTTGAGGCCTATCGTAGTAAAGGAAATAACTTCCTATAAAAACAAGACAGAAAGCTTTCTCAGAAAATTCTCTGGGATGATTGAGTTGAACTCACAGAGCAGTACTTTCCTTGGGATGGAGTAGTTTCAAAACACACTTTCTGTAGAATCTGCAAGTGGATATTTGGACCTGTATGAGGAATTCGTTGCAAACAGGATAATTTCAGCTAAGTAAACAGAAGCAGTCTCAGAATCTTCCTGTGATGGTTGCATTCAAATCCCAGAATTGAACCTTCCTTTGAAAGTTCAGGTTGGAAACACTCTTTTTGCAGGATCTACAAGTGGATATTCGGACCACTCTGTGGACTTCGTTCGAAACGGGTATATCTTCACATAACATCTAGACAGAAGCATTCTCAGAAACTTTTCTGTGATGACTGCATTCAACTCACAGAGTTGAACACTCCTTTTGAGAGCGCAGTTTTGAAACTCTCTTTCTCTGGAATCTGCAAGGGGACATGCAGACCTCTTTGAAGGTTTCGTTGGAAACGGAATCATCTTCACATAAAAATTACACAGAAGCATCCTCAGGAACTCCTTGGTGATGTTTGTATTCAACTTCCAGAGTTGAACTTTCCTTCAGAAAGAGCAGCTATGAAACACTCTTTTTCTAGAATCTGCAAGTGGACATTGGGAGGGCTGTGAGGTTTGTGGTGGAAAAGGAAATATCTCCACATAAATACTAGATAGAAGCCTTCTCAGAAACTACTTTGTGATGACTGCATTCACCTCACGGAGTGGAGCATTCCTATTGACAGAGCAGTTTGGAAACACTCTTCTTGTAGAATCGGCTAGTGGAGAGTTGGAGCGCTTTGAGGCCTATGGTAGTAAAGGGAAGAGCTTCACATAAAATCTAGACAGAAGCATTCTCAGAAAATACTTTGTGATGATTGAGTTTAACACACAGAGCTGAACATTACTTTGGATGGAGCAGGTTTGAAACACACTTTCTGTAGAATCTGCGAGTGGATATTTGGACCTCTCTGAGGATTTCGATGGAAACGGGATAACTGCACCTAACTAAACGGAAGCATTCTCACAAAATTCTTTGTGATGTTTGCATTCAAATCCCAGAGTTGAACCTTCCTTTGATAGTTCAGCTTTGAAACACTCTTTTTGTAGGATCTGCAGGTGGATATTTGGACCACTCTTTGGCCTTCGTTCGAAACGGGTACATCTTCAAATAAAATCTAGACAGAAGCCTTCTCAGAAACTTCTCTGTGATGATTGCATTCAACTCAAAGCGTTGAACCCTCCTATGGATAGAGCAGTTTTGAATCTCTCTTTTTGTGGAATCTGCAAGTGGTTGTGTGGTCCTCTTTGAAAATGTCTTTGGAAACGGGAATATCTTCACATAAAAACTAAACAGAAGCATTCTCAGAAACTTCTCTGTGATGTTTGTGTCCAAATCACAGAGTTTCACGATGCTTTTCATAGAGCAGATGAGAAACATTCTTTTCGTAGGGTCTGCAAGTGGACATTTGGAGAGATTTCAGGCCTGTGGTGGAAAACGAATAATCGTCAAGTAAAAACTAGAGGGAAGCATTGTCAGAAACTTGTTTGTGATGACTGCATTCAACTCACAGAGTTGAAGGTTCCTTTTCAAACAGCAGTTTCCAAACACTCTTTCTGTGGCATCTGCAAGTGGATGTTTGGGCCTCTTTGAAGATTTCGTTGGAAACGGGATAATCTTCACAGAAAAGCTAAACAGAAGCATTCTCAGAAACTTCTTTGTGATGTTTGCTTTCAACTCACAGAGTTGAACTTTCCTTTTGAGAGAGAAGCTTTGAAACACTCTTTTTCTAGAATCTGCAAGTGGATATTTGGAGGGCTTTGAGGCCTGTGGTGGAAAACGAATTATCTTCCCGTAAGAACTAGATAGATGCATTCTCAGAAACTACTTTGTGACGATTGCATTCAAGTCACAGAGGTGAACATTCCCTTTCAGAGAGCACTTTGGAAACTCTCGTTGTGTAGAATCTGCAAGTGGAGATATGGACCGCTTTGAGGCCTATGGTAGTAAAGGAAACAGCTTCATATAAAAACTAGACAGCAGCATTCTCAGAAAACTCTTTGTGACGACTGAGTTTAACTCACAGGGCTGAACATTCCTTTGGATGGAGCAGTTTGGAAACACACTATCTGTAGGATCTGCAAGCGGATACTTGGGCCTCCCTGAGGATTTCGTTGGAAACGGTATAAACCGCACAGAACTAAACAGAAGCATTCTCAGAACCTTCTTCGTGATGTTTGCATTCAACCCACAGTGTTGAACCTTTCTTTGCTAGTTCAGGTTTGAAACACTCTTTTTGTAGAAACTGCAAGTGGATAACTGCACTTCTTTGAGGCCTATCGTAGTAAAGGAAATAACTTCCTATAAAAACAAGACAGAAGCTTTCTCAGAAAATTCTCTGGGATGATTGAGTTGAACTCACAGAGCAGTACTTTCCTTGGGATGGAGTAGTTTCAAAACACACTTTCTGTAGAATCTGCAAGTGGATATTTGGACCTGTCTGAGGAATTCGTTGCAAACGGGATAATTTCAGCTAAGTAAACAGAAGCAGTCTCAGAATCTTCTTGTGATGTTTGCATTCAAATCCCAGAATGGAACCTTCCTTTGAAAGTTCAGGTTGGAAACACTCTTTTTGCAGGATCTACAAGTGGATATTCGGACCACTCTGTGGACTTCGTTCGAAACGGGTATATCTTCACATAACATCTAGACAGAAGCATTCTCAGAAACTTTTCTGTGATGACTGCATTCAACTCACAGAGTTGAACACTCCTTTTGAGAGTGCAGTTTTGAAACTCTCTTTCTCTGGAATCTGCAAGGGGACATGCAGACCTCTTTGAAGGTTTCGTTGGAAACGGAATCATCTTCACATAAAAATTACACAGAAGCATCCTCAGGAACTCCTTGGTGATGTTTGTATTCAACTTCCAGAGTTGAACTTTCCTTCGGAAAGAGCAGCTATAAAACACACTTTTTCTAAAATCTGCAAGTGGACATTGGGAGGGCTGTGAGGTTTGTGGTGGAAAAGGAAATATCTCCACATAAATACTAGATAGAAGCCTTCTCAGAAACTACTTTGTGATGACTGCATTCACCTCACGGAGTTGAGCATTCCTATTGACAGAGCAGTTTGGAAACACTCTTCTTGTAGAATCGGCTAGTGGAGATTTGGAGCGCTTTGAGGCCTATGGTAGTAAAGGGAAGAGCTTCACATAAAATCTAGACAGAAGCATTCTCAGAAAATACTTTGTGATGATTGAGTTTAACACACAGAGCTGAACATTCCTTTGGATGGAGAAGGTTTGAAACACACTTTCTGTAGAATCTGCGAGTGGATATTTGGACCTCTCTGAGGATTTCGTTGGAAACGGGATAACTGCACCTAACTAAACGGAAGCATTCTCACAAAATTCTTTGTGATGTTTGCATTCAAATCCCAGAGTTGAACCTTCCTTTGATAGTTCAGCTTTGAAACACTCTTTCTGTAGGTTCTGCAGGTGGATATTTGGACCACTCTTTGGCCTTCGTTCGAAACGGGTACATCTTCAAATAAAATCTAGACAGAAGCCTTCTCAGAAACTTCTCTGTGACGATTGCATTCAACTCACAGCGTTGAACCCTCCTATGGATAGAGCAGTTTTGAATCTCTCTTTTTGTGGAATCTGCAAGTGGATATGTGGTCCTCTTTGAAGATGTCTTTGGAAACGGGAATATCTTCACATAAAAACTAAACAGAAGCATTCTCAGAAACTTCTCTGTGATGTTTGTGTTCAACTCACAGAGTTTCACGTTGCTTTTCATAGAGCAGATGAGAAACATGCTTTTCGTAGGGTCTGCAAGTGGACATTTGGAGAGATTTCAGGCCTGTGGTGGAAAACGAATTATCGTCACGTAAAAACTAGAGAGAAGCATTGTCAGAAACTTGTTTGTGATGACTGCATTCAACTCACAGAGTTGAAGGTTCCTTTTCAAACAGCAGTTTCCAAACACTCTTTCTGTGGCATCTGCAAGTGGATGTTTGGGCCTCTTTGAAGATTTCGTTGGAAACGGGATAATCTTCACAGAAAAGCTAAACAGAAGCATTCTCAGAAACTTCTTTGTGATGTTTGCTTTCAACTCACAGAGTTGAACTTTCCTTTTGAGAGAGAAGCTTTGAAACACTCTTTTTCTAGAATCTGCAAGAGGATATTTGGAGGGCTTTGAGGCCTGAGGTGGAAAAGGAATTATCTTCCCGTAAGAACTAGATAGATGCATTCTCAGAAACTACTTTGTGACGATTGCATTCTAGTCACAGAGGTGAACATTCCCTTTCACAGAGCACTTTGGAAACTCTCGTTGTGTAGAATCTGCAAGTGGAGATATGGACCGCTTTGAGGCCTATGGTAGTAAAGGAAACAGCTTCATATAAAAACTAGACAGCAGCATTCTCAGAAAACTCTTTGTGACGACTGAGTTTAACTCACAGGGCTGAACATTCCTTTGGATGGAGCAGTTTGGAAACACACTATCTGTAGGATCTGCAAGCGGATATTTGGGCCTCCCTGAGGATTTCGTTGGAAACGGGATAAACCGCACCGAACTAAACAGAAGCATTCTCAGAACCTTCTTCGTGATGTTTGCATTCAACCCACAGTGTTGAACCTTTCTTTGATAGTTCAGGTTTGAAACACTCTTTTTGTAGAAACTGCAAGTGGATAACTGCACTTCTTTGAGGCCTATCGTAGTAAAGGAAATAACTTCCTATAAAAACAAGACAGAAGCTTTCTCAGAAAAACCTCTGGGATGATTGAGTTGAACTCACAGAGCTGTACTTTCCTTGGGATGGAGTAGTTTCGAAACACACTTTCTGTAGAATCTGCAAGTGGATATTTGGACCTGTCTGAGGAATTCGTTGGAAACGGGATAACTTCAGCTAACTAAACAGAAGCAATCTCAGAATCTTCTTTGTGATGTTTGCATTCAAATCCCAGAGTTGAACCTTCCTTTGAAAGTTCAGGTTTGAAACCCTCTTTTTGCAGGATCTACCAATTTATTTTGGGACCACTCTGTGGTCTTCGTTCGAAACGGGTATATCTTCACATAACATCTAGACAGAAGCATTCTCAGAAACTTTTCTGTGATGACTCCATTCAACTCACTGAGTTGAACACTCCTTTTGAGAGCGCAGTTTTGAAACTCTCTTTCTCTGGAATCTGCAAGGGGACATGCAGACCTCTTTGAAGGTTTCGTTGGAAACGGAATCATCTTCACATAAAAATTACACAGAAGCACCCTCAGGAACTCCTTGGTGATGTTTGTATTCAACTTCCAGAGTTGAACTTTCCTTCGGAAAGAGCAGCTATGAAACACTCTTTTTCTAGAATCTGAAAGTGGACATTGGGAGGGCTGTGAGGTTTGTGGTGGAAAAGGAAATATCTCCACATAAATACTAGATAGAAGCCTTCTCAGAAACTACTTTGTGATGATTGCATTCACCTCACGGAGTTGAGCATCCCTATTGACAGAGCAGTTTGGAAACACTCTTGTTGTACAATAGGCTAGTGGAGATTTGGAGCGCTTTGAGGCCTATGGTAGTAAAGGGAAGAGCTTCACATAAAATCTAGACAGAAGCATTCTCAGAAAATACTTTGTGATGATTGAGTTTAACACACAGAGCTGAACATTCCTTTGGATGGAGAAGGTTTGAAACACACTTTCTGTAGAATCTGCGAGTGGATATTTGGACCTCTCTGAGGATTTCGTTGGAAACGGGATAACTGCACCTAACTAAACGGAAGCATTCTCACAAAATTCTTTGTGATGTTTGCATTCAAATCCCAGAGTTGAACCTTCCTTTGATAGTTCAGCTTTGAAACACTCTTTTTGTAGGCTCTGCAGGTGGATATTTGGACCACTCTTTGGCCTTCGTTCGAAAAGGGTACATCTTCAAATAAAATCTAGACAGAAGCCTTCTCAGAAACTTCTCTGTGACGATTGCATTCAACTCAAAGCGTTGAACCCTCCTATGGATAGAGCAGTTTTGAATCTCTCTTTTTGTGGAATCTGCAAGTGGATATGTGGTCCTCTTTGAAGATGTCTTTGGAAACGGGAATATCTTCACATAAAAACTAAACAGAAGCATTCTCAGAAACTTCTCTGTGATGTTTGTGTTCAACTCACAGAGTTTCACGTTGCTTTTCATAGAGCAGATGAGAAACATGCTTTTCGTAGGGTCTGCAAGTGGACATTTGGAGAGCTTTCAGGCCTGTGGTGGAAAATGAATTATCGTCACGTAAAAACTAGAGAGAAGCATTGTCAGAAACTTGTTTGTGATGACTGCATTCAACTCACAGAGTTGAAGGTTCCTTTTCAAACAGCAGTTTCCAAACACTCTTTCTGTGGCATCTGCAAGTGGATGTTTGGGCCTCTTTGAAGATTTCGTTGGAAACGGGATAATCTTCACAGAAAAGCTAAACAGAAGCATTCTCAGAAACTTCTTTGTGATGTTTGCTTTCAACTCACAGAGTTGAACTTTCCTTTTGAGAGAGAAGCTTTGAAACACTCTTTTTCTAGAATCTGCAAGTGGATATTTGGAGGGCTTTGAGGCCTGAGGTGGAAAAGGAATTATCTTCCCGTAAGAACTAGATAGATGCATTCTCAGAAACTACTTTGTGACGATTGCATTCAAGTCACAGAGGTGAACATTCCCTTTCACAGAGCACTTTGGAAACTCTCGTTGTGTAGAATCTGCAAGTGGAGATATGGACCGCTTTGAGGCCTATGGTAGTAAAGGAAACAGCTTCATATAAAAACTAGACAGCAGCATTCTCAGAAAACTCTTTGTGACGACTGAGTTTAACTCACAGGGCTGAACATTCCTTTGGATGGAGCAGTTTGGAAACACACTATCTGTAGGATCTGCAAGCGGATACTTGGGCCTCCCTGAGGATTTCGTGGGAAACGGGATAAACCGCACAGAACTAAACAGAAGCATTCTCAGAACCTTCTTCGTGATGTTTGCATTCAACCCACAGTGTTGAACCTTTCTTTGATAGTTCAGCTTTGAAACACTCTTTTTGTAGAAACTGCAAGTGGATAACTGCACTTCTTTGAGGCCTATCGTAGTAAAGGAAATAACTTCCTATAAAAACAAGACAGAAGCTTTCTCAGAAAATTCTCTGGGATGATTGAGTTGAACTCACAGAGCAGTACTTTCCTTGGGATGGAGTAGTTTCGAAACACACTTTCTGTAGAATCTGCAAGTGGATATTTGGACCTGTCTGAGGAATTCGTTGCAAACGGGATAATTTCAGCTAAGTAAACAGAAGCAGTCTCAGAATCTTCTTGTGATGTTTGCATTCAAATCCCAGAATTGAACCTTCCTTTGAAAGTTCAGGTTGGAAACACTCTTTTTGCAGGATCTACAAGTGGATATTCGGACCACTCTGTGGACTTCCTTCGAAACGGGTATATCTTCACATAACATCTAGACAGAAGCATTCTCAGAAACTTTTCTGTGATGACTGCATTCAACTCACAGAGTTGAACACTCCTTTTGAGAGTGCAGTTTTGAAACTCTCTTTCTCTGGAATCTGCAAGGGGACATGCAGACCTCTTTGAAGGTTTCGTTGGAAACGGAATCATCTTCACATAAAAATTACACAGAGGCATCCTCAGGTAACTCCTTGGTGATGTTTGTATTCAACTTCCAGAGTTGAACTTTCCTTCGGAAAGAGCAGCTATGAAACACTCTCTTTCTAGAATCTGCAAGTGGACATTGGGAGGGCTGTGAGGTTTGTGGTGGAAAAGGAAATATCTCCACATAAATACTAGATAGAAGCCTTCTCAGAAACTACTTTGTGATGATTGCATTCACCTCACGGAGTGGAGCATTCCTATTGACAGAGCAGTTTGGAAACACTCTTCTTGTAGAATCGGCTAGTGGAGATTTGGAGCGCTTTGAGGCCTATGGTAGTAAAGGGAAGAGCTTCACATAAAATCTAGACAGAAACATTCTCAGAAAATACTTTGTGATGATTGAGTTTAACACACAGAGCTGAACATTCCTTTGGATGGAGAATGTTTGAAACACACTTTCTGTAGAATCTGCGAGTGGATATTTGGACCTCTCTGAGGATTTTGTTGGAAACGGGATAACTGCACCTAATTAAAGGAAGCATTCTCACAAAATTCTTTGTGATGTTTGCATTCAAATCCCAGAGTTGAACCTTCCTTTGATAGTTCAGCTTTGAAACACTCTTTTTGTAGGATCTGCAGGTGGATATTTGGACCACTCTTTGGCCTTCGTTCAAAACGGGTACATCTTCAAATAAAATCTAGACAGAAGCCTTCTCAGAAACTTCTCTGTGATGATTGAATTCAACTCAAGGCGTTGAACCCTCCTATGGATAGGGCAGTTTTGAATCTCTCTTTTTGTGGAATCTGCAAGTGGATATGTGGTCCTCTTTGAAGATGTCTTTGGAAACGGGAATATCTTCACATAAAAACTAAACAGAAGCATTCTCAGAAACTTCTCTGTGATGTTTGTGTTCAACTCACAGAGTTTCACGTTGCTTTTCATAGAGCAGATGAGAAACATGCTTTTCGTAGGGTCTGCAAGTGGACATTTGGAGAGATTTCAGGCCTGTGGTGGAAAACGAATTATCGTCACGTAAAAACTAGAGAGAAGCATTGTCAGAAACTTGTTTGTGATGACTGCATTCAACTCACAGAGTTGCAGGTTCCTTTTCAAACAGTAGTTTCCAAACACTCTTTCTGTGGCATCTGCAAGTGGATGTTTGGGCCTCTTTGAAGATTTCGTTGGAAACGGGATAATCTTCACAGAAAAGCTAAACAGAAGCATTGTCAGAAACTTCTTTGTGATGTTTGCTTTCAACTCACAGAGTTGAACTTTCCTTTTGAGAGAGAAGCTTTGAAACACTCTTTTTCTAGAATCTGCAAGTGGATATTTGGAGGGCTTTGAGGCCTGTGGTGGAAAACGAATTATCTTCCCGTAAGAACTAGATAGATGCATTCTCAGAAACTACTTTGTGACGATTGCATTCAAGTCACAGAGGTGAACATTCCCTTTCAGAGAGCACTTTGGAAACTCTCGTTGTGTAGAATCTGCAAGTGGAGATATGGACCGCTTTGAGGCCTATGGTAGTAAAGGAAACAGCTTCATATAAAAACTAGACAGCAAGAATTCTCAGAAAACTCTTTGTGACGACTGAGTTTAACTCACAGGGCTGAACATTCCTTTGGATGGAGCAGTTTGGAAACACACTATCTGTAGGATCTGCAAGCGGATACTTGGGCCTCTCTGAGGATTTCGTTGGAAACGGGATAAACCGCACAGAACTAAACAGAAGCATTCTCAGAACCTTCTTCGTGATGTTTGCATTCAACCCACAGTGTTGAACCTTTCTTTGATAGTTCAGGTT
The DNA here is from genome assembly GCF_000001405.40 of Homo sapiens. Lineage (NCBI taxonomy): Eukaryota > Metazoa > Chordata > Mammalia > Primates > Hominidae > Homo > Homo sapiens. The sequence continues at coordinate 23,163,043 of NC_000017.11, forward strand.
TGAAACACTCTTTTTGTAGAAACTGCAAGTGGATAACTGCACTTCTTTGAGGCCTATCGTAGTAAAGGAAATAACTTCCTATAAAAACAAGACAGAAGCTTTCTCAGAAAATTCTCTGGGATGATTGAGTTGAACTCACAGAGCAGTACTTTTCCTTGGGATGGAGTAGTTTCGAAACACACTTTCTGTAGAATCTGCAAGTGGATATTTGGACCTGTCTGAGGAATTCGTTGCAAACGGGATAATTTCAGCTAAGTAAACAGAAGCAGTCTCAGAATCTTCTTGTGATGGTTGCATTCAAATCCCAGAATGGAACCTTCCTTTGAAAGTTCAGGTTGGAAACACTCTTTTTGCAGGATCTACAAGTGGATATTCGGACCACTCTGTGGACTTCGCTCGAAACGGGTATATCTTCACATAACATCTAGACAGAAGCATTCTCAGAAACTTTTCTGTGATGACTGCATTCAACTCACAGAGTTGAACACTCCTTTTGAGAGCGCAGTTTTGAAACTCTCTTTCTCTGGAATCTGCAAGGGGACATGCAGACCTCTTTGAAGGTTTCGTTGGAAACGGAATCATCTTCACATAAAAATTACACAGATGCATCCTCAGGAACTCCTTGGTGATGTTTGTATTCAACTTCCAGAGTTGAACTTTCCTTCGGAAAGAGCAGCTATGAAACACTCTTTTTCTAGAATCTGCAAGTGGACATTGGGAGGGCTGTGAGGTTTGTGGTGGAAAAGGAAATATCTCCACATAAATACTAGATAGAAGCCTTCTCAGAAACTACTTTGTGATGATTGCATTCACCTCACGGAGTGGAGCATTCCTATTGACAGAGCAGTTTGGAAACACTCTACTTGTAGAATCGGCTAGTGGAGATTTGGAGCGCTTTGAGGCCTATGGTAGTAAAGGGAAGAGCTTCACATAAAATCTAGACAGAAGCATTCTCAGAAAATACTTTGTGATGATTGAGTTTAACACACAGAGCTGAACATTCCTTTGGATGGAGAAGGTTTGAAACACACTTTCTGTAGAATCTGCGAGTGGATATTTGGACCTCTCTGAGGATTTCGTTGGAAACGGGATAACTGCACCTAACTAAACGGAAGCATTCTCACAAAATTCTTTGTGATGTTTGCATTCAAATCCCAGAGTTGAACCTTCCTTTGATAGTTCAGCTTTGAAACACTCTTTTTGTAGGATCTGCAGGTGGATATTTAGACCACTCTTTGGCCTTCGTTCGAAACGGGTACATCTTCAAATAAAATCTAGACAGAAGCCTTCTCAGAAACTTCTCTGTGACGATTGCATTCAACTCAAAGCGTTGAACCCTCCTATGGATAGAGCAGTTTTGAATCTCTCTTTTTCTGGAATCTGCAAGTGGATATGTGGTCCTCTTTGAAGATGTCTTTGGAAACGGGAATATCTTCACATAAAAACTAAACAGAAGCATTCTCAGAAACTTCTCTGTGATGTTTGTGTTCAACTCACAGAGTTTCACGTTGCTTTTCATAGAGCAGATGAGAAACATGCTTTTCGTAGGGTCTGCAAGTGGACATTTGGAGAGATTTCCGGCCTGTGGTGGAAAACGAATTATCGTCACGTAAAAACTAGAGAGAAGCATTGTCAGAAACTTGTTTGTGATGACTGCATTCAACTCACAGAGTTGAAGGTTCCTTTTCAAACACCAGTTTCCAAACACTCTTTCTGTGGCATCTGTAAGTGGATGTTTGGGCCTCTTTGAAGATTTCGTTGGAAACGGGATAATCTTCACAGAAAAGCTAAACAGAAGCATTCTCAGAAACTTCTTTGTGATGTTTGCTTTCAACTCACAGAGTTGAACTTTCCTTTTGAGAGAGAAGCTTTGAAACACTCTTTTTCAAGAATCTGCAAGTGGATATTTGGAGGGCTTTGAGGCCTGTGGTGGAAAAGGAATTATCTTCCCGTAAGAACTAGATAGATGCATTCTCAGAAAATACTTTGTGACGATTGCATTCAAGTCCCAGATGTGAACATTCCCTTTCACAGAGCACTTTGGAAACTCTCGTTGTGTAGAATCTGCAAGTCGAGATATGGACCGCTTTGAGGCCTATGGTAGTAAAGGAAACAGCTTCATATAAAAACTAGACAGCAGCATTCTCAGAAAACTCTTTGTGACGACTGAGTTTAACTCACAGGGCTGAACATTCCTTTGGATGGAGCAGTTTGGAAACATACTATCTGTAGGATCTGCAAGCGGATACTTGGGCCTCCCTGAGGATTTCGTTGGAAACGGGATAAACCGCACAGAACTAAACAGAAGCATTCTCAGAACCTTCTTCGTGATGTTTGCATTCAACCCACAGTGTTGAACCTTTCTTTGATAGTTCAGGTTTGAAACACTCTTTTAGTAGAAACTGCAAGTGGATAACTGCACTTCTTTGAGGCCTATCGTAGTAAAGGAAATAACTTCCTATAAAAACAAGACAGAAGCTTTCTCAGAAAATTCTCTGGGATCATTGAGTTGAACTCACAGAGCAGTACTTTCTTTGGGATGGAGTAGTTTCGAAACACACTTTCTGTACAATCTGCAAGTGGATATTTGGACCTGTCTGAGGAATTCGTTGCAAACGGGATAATTTCAGCTAAGTAAACAGAAGCAGTCTCAGAATCTTCTTGTGATGTTTGCATTCAAATCCCAGAATTGAACCTTCCTTTGAAAGTTCAGGTTGGAAACACTCTTTTTGCAGGATCTACAAGTGGATATTCGGACCACTCTGTGGACTTCGTTCGAAACGGCTATATCTTCACATAACATCTAGACAGAAGCATTCTCAGAAACTTTTCTGTGATGACTGCATTCAACTCACAGAGTTGAACACTCCTTTTGAGAGCGCAGTTTTGAAACTCTCTTTCTCTGGAATCTGCAAGGGGACATGCAGACCTCTTTGAAGGTTTCGTTGGAAACGGAATCATCTTCACATAAAAATTACACAGAAGCATTCTCAGGAACTCCTTGGTGATGTTTGTATTCAACTTCCAGAGTTGAACTTTCCTTCGGAAAGAGCAGCTATGAAACACACTTTCTCTAGAATCTGCAAGTGGACATTGGGAGAGCTGTGAGGTTTGTGGTGGAAAAGGAAATATCTCCACATAAATACTAGATAGAAGCCTTCTCAGAAACTACTTTGTGATGATTGCATTCACCTCACGGAGTGGAGCATTCCTATTGACAGAGCAGTTTGGAAACACTCTTCTCGTAGAATCGGCTAGCGGAGATTTGGAGCGCTTTGAGGCCTATGGTAGTAAAGGGAAGAGCTTCACATAAAATCTAGACAGAAGCATTCTCAGAAAATACTTTGTGATGATTGAGTTTAACACACAGAGCTGCACATTCCTTTGGATGGAGAAGGTTTGAAACACACTTTCTGTAGAATCTGCGAGTGGATATTTGGACCTCTCTGAGGATTTCGTTGGAAACGGGATAACTGCACCTAACTAAACGGAAGCATTCTCACAAAATTCTTTGTGATGTTTGCATTCAAATCCCAGAGTTGAACCTTCCTTTGATAGTTCAGCTTTGAAACACTCTTTTTGTAGGATCTGCAGGTGGATATTTGGACCACTCTTTGGCCTTCGTTCGAAACGGGTACATCTTCAAATAAAATCTAGACAGAAGCCTTCTCAGAAACTTCTCTGTGACGATTGCATTCAACTCACAGCGTTGAACCCTCCTATGGATAGAGCAGGTTTGAATCTCTCTTTTTGTGGAATCTGCAAGTGGATGTGTGGTCCTCTTTGAAGATGTCTTTGGAAACGGGAATATCTTCACATAAAAACTAAACAGAAGCATTCTCAGAAACTTCTCTGTGATGTTTGTGTTCAACTCACAGAGTTTCACGTTCCTGTTCATAGAGCAGATGAGAAATATGCTTTTCGTAGGGTCTGCAAGTGGACATTTGGAGAGATTTCAGGCCTGTGGTGGAAAACGAATTATCGTCACGTAAAAACTAGAGAGAAGCATTGTCAGAAACTTGTTTGTGATGACTGCATTCAACTCACAGAGTTGAAGGTTCCTTTTCAAACAGCAGTTTCCAAACACTCTTTCTGTGGCATCTGCAAGTGGATGTTTGGGCCTCTTTGAAGATTTCGTTGGAAACGGGATAATCTTCACAGAAAAGCTAAACAGAAGCATTCTCAGAAACTTCTTTGTGATGTTTGCTTTCAACTCACAGAGTTGAACTTTCCTTTTGAGAGAGAAGCTTTGAAACACTCTTTTTCTAGAATCTGCAAGTGGATATTTGGAGGGCTTTGAGGCCTGAGGTGGAAAAGGAATTATCTTCCCGTAAGAACTAGATAGATGCATTCTCAGAAACTACTTTGTGACGATTGCTTTCAAGTCACAGAGGTGAACATTCCCTTTCAGAGAGCACTTTGGAAACTCTCGTTGTGTGGAATCTGCAAGTGGAGATATGGACCGCTTTGAGGCCTATGGTAGTAAAGGAAACAGCTTCATATAAAAACTAGACAGCAGCATTCTCAGAAAACTCTTTGTGACGACTGAGTTTAACTCACAGGGCTGAACATTCCTTTGGATGGAGCAGTTTGGAAACACACTATCTGTAGGATCTGCAAGCGGATACTTGGGCCTCCCTGAGGATTTCGTTGGAAACGGGATAAACCGCACAGAACTAAACAGAAGCATTCTCAGAACCTTCTTCGTGATGTTTGCATTCAACCCACAGTGTTGAACCTTTCTTTGATAGTTCAGGTTTGAAACACTCTTTTTGTAGAAACTGCAAGTGGATAACTGCACTTCTTTGAGGCCTATCATAGTAAAGGAAATAACTTCCTGTAAAAACAAGACAGAAGCTTTCTCAGAAAATTCTCTGGGATGATTGAGTTGAACTCACAGGGCAGTACTTTCCTTGGGATGGAGTAGTTTCGAAACACACTTTCTGTAGAATCTGCAAGTGGATATTTGGTCCTGTCTGAGGAATTCGTTGCAAACGGGATAATTTCAGCTAAGTAAACAGAAGCAGTCTCAGAATCTTCTTGTGATGTTTGCATTCAAATCCCAGAATTGAACCTTCCTTTGAAAGTTCAGGTTGGAAACACTCTTTTTGCAGGATCTACAAGTGGATATTCGGACCACTCTGTGGACTTCGTTTGAAACGGGTATATCTTCACATAACATCTAGACAGAAGCATTCTCAGAAACTTTTCTGTGATGACTGCATTCAACTCACAGAGTTGAACACTCCTTTTGAGAGCGCAGTTTTGAAACTCTCTTTCTCTGGAATCTGCAAGGGGACATGCAGACCTCTTTGAAGGTTTCATTGGAAACGGAATCATCTTCACATAAAAATTACACAGAAGCATCCTCAGGAACTCCTTGGTGATGTTTGTATTCAACTTCCAGAGTTGAACTTTCCTTCGGAAAGAGCAGCTATGAAACACTCTTTTTCTAGAATCTGCAAGTGGACATTGGGAGGGCTGTGAGGTTTGTGGTGGAAAAGGAAATATCTCCACATAAATACTAGATAGAAGCCTTCTCAGAAACTACTTTGTGATGACTGCATTCACCTCACGGAGTGGAGCATTCCTATTGACAGAGCAGTTTGGAAACACTCTTCTTGTAGAATCGGCTAGTGGAGAGTTGGAGCGCTTTGAGGCCTATGGTAGTAAAGGGAAGAGCTTCACATAAAATCTAGACAGAAAGCATTCTCAGAAAATACTTTGTGATGATTGAGTTTAACACACAGAGCTGAACATTCCTTTGGATGGAGAAGGTTTGAAACACACTTTCTGTAGAATCTGCGAGTGGATATTTGGACCTCTCTGAGGATTTCGTTGGAAACGGGATAACTGCACCTAACTAAACGGAAGCATTCTCACAAAATTCTTTGTGATGTTTGCATTCAAATCCCAGAGTTGAACCTTCCTTTGATAGTTCAGCTTTGAAACACTCTTTTTGTAGGTTCTGCAGGTGGATATTTGGACCACTCTTTGGCCTTCGTTCGAAACGGGTACATCTTCAAATAAAATCTAGACAGAAGCCTTCTCAGAAACTTCTCTGTGACGATTGCATTCAACTCAAAGAGTTGAACCCTCCTATGGATAGAGCAGTTTTGAATCTCTCTTTTTGTGGAATCTGCAAGTGGATATGTGGTCCTCTTTGAAGATGTCTTTGGAAACGGGAATATCTTCACATAAAAACTAAACAGAAGCATTCTCAGAAACTTCTCTGTGATGTTTGTGTTCAACTCACAGAGTTTCACGTTGCTATTCATAGAGCAGATGAGAAACATGCTTTTCGTAGGGTCTGCAAGTGGACATTTCGAGAGATTTCCGGCCTGCGGTGGAAAACGAATTATCGTCACGTAAAAACTAGAGAGAAGCATTGTCAGAAACTTGTTTGTGATGACTGCATTCAACTCACGGAGTTGAAGGTTCCTTTTCAAACAGCAGTTTCCAAACACTCTTTCTGTGGCATCTGCAAGTGGATGATTGGGCCTCTTTGAAGATTTCGTTGGAAACGGGATAATCTTCACAGAAAAGCTAAACAGAAGCATTCTCAGAAACTTCCTTGTGATGTTTGCTTTCAACTCACAGAGTTGAACTTTCCTTTTGAGAGAGAAGCTTTGAAACACTCTTTTTCTAGAACCTGCAAGTGGATATTTGGAGGGCTTTGAGGCCTGAGGTGGAAAAGGAATTATATTCCCGTAAGAACTAGATAGATGCATTCTCAGAAACTGCTTTGTGACGATTGCATTCAAGTCACAGAGGTGAACATTCCCTTTCAGAGAGCACTTTGGAAACTCTCGTTGTGTAGAATCTGCAAGTGGAGATATGGACCGCTTTGAGGCCTATGGTAGTAAAGGAAACAGCTTCATATAAAAACTAGACAGCAGCATTCTCAGAAAACTCTTTGTGACGACTGAGTTTAACTCACAGGGCTGAACATTCCTTTGGATGGAGCAGTTTGGAAACACACCATCTGTAGGATCTGCAAGCGGATACTTGGGACTCTCTGAGGATTTCGTTGGAAACGGGATAAACCACACAGAACTAAATAGAAGCATTCTCAGATCCTTCTTCGTGATGTTTGCATTCAACCCACAGTGTTGAACCTTTCCTTGATAGTTCAGGTTTGAAACACTCTTTTTGTAGAAACTGCAAGTGGATAACTGCACTTCTTTGAGGCCTATCGTAGTAAAAGAAATAACTTCCTATAAAAACAAGACAGAAGCTTTCTCAGAAAATTCTCTGGGATGATTGAGTTGAACTCACAGAGCAGTACTTTCCTTGGGATGGAGTAGTTTCGAAACACACTTTCTGTAGAATCTGCAAGTGGATATTTGGACCTGTCTGAGGAATTCGTTGCAAACGGGATAATTTCAGCTAAGTAAACAGAAGCAGTCTCAGAATCTTCTTGTGATGTTTGCATTCAAATCCCAGAATTGAACCTTCCTTTGAAAGTTCAGGTTGGAAACACTCTTTTTGCAGGATCTACAAGTGGATATTCGGACCACTCTGTGGACTTCGTTCGAAACGGCTATATCTTCACATAACATCTAGACAGAAGCATTCTCAGAAACTTTTCTGTGATGACTGCATTCAACTCACAGAGTTGAACACTCCTTTTGAGAGCGCAGTTTTGAAACTCTCTTTCTCTGGAATCTGCAAGGGGACATGCAGACCTCTTTGAAGGTTTCGTTGGAAACGGAATCATCTTCACATAAAAATTACACAGAAGCATCCTCAGGAACTCCTTGGGGATGTCTGTATTCAACTTCCAGAGTTGAACTTTCCTTCGGAAAGAGCAGCTATGAAACACTCTTTTTCTAGAATCTGCAAGTGGACATTGGGAGGGCTGTGAGGTTTGTGGTGGAAAAGGAAATATCTCCACATAAATACTAGATAGAAGGCTTCTCAGAAACTACTTTGTGATGATTGCATTCACCTCACGGAGTGGAGCATTCCTATTGACAGAGCAGTTTGGAAACACTCTTGTTGTAGAATCTGCTAGTGGAGATTTGGAGCGCTTTGAGGCCTATGGTAGTAAAGGGAAGAGCTTCACATAAAATCTAGACAGAAGCATTCTCAGAAAATACTTTGTGATGATTGAGTTTAACACACAGAGCTGAACATTCCTTTGGATGGAGAAGGTTTGAAACACACTTTCTGTAGAATCTGCGAGTGGATATTTGGACCTCTCTGAGGATTTCGTTGGAAACGGGATAACTGCACCTAACTAAACGGAAGCATTCTCACAAAATTCTTTGTGATGTTTGCATTCAAATCCCAGAGTTGAACCTTCCTTTGATAGTTCAGTTTTGAAACACTCTTTTTGTAGGATCTACAGGTGGATATTTGGACCACTCTTTGGCCTTCGTTCGAAAAGGGTACATCTTCAAATAAAATCTAGACAGAAGCCTTCTCAGAAACTTCTCTGTGACGATTGCATTCAACTCAAAGAGTTGAACCCTCCTATGGATAGAGCAGTTTTGAATCTCTCTTTATGTGGAATCTGCAAGTGGATATGTGGTCCTCTTTGAAGATGTCTTTGGAAACGGGAATATCTTCACATAAAAACTAAACAGAAGCATTCTCAGGAAACTTCTCTGTGATGTTTGTGTTCAACTCACAGAGTTTCACGTTGCTTTTCATAGAGCAGATGAGAAACATGCTTTTCGTAGGGTCTGCAAGTGGACATTTGGAGAGATTTCAGGCCTGTGGTGGAAAACGAATTATCGTCACGTAAAAACTAGAGGGAAGCATTGTCAGAAACTTGTTTGTGATGACTGCATTCAACTCACAGAGTTGAAGGTTCCTTTTCAAACAGCAGTTTCCAAACACTCTTTCTGTGGCATCTGCAAGTGGATGTTTGGGCCTCTTTGAAGATTTCGTTGGAAACGGGATAATCTTCACAGAAAAGCTAAACAGAAGCATTCTCAGAAACTTCTTTGTGATGTTCGCTTTCAACTCACAGAGTTGAACTTTCCTTTTGAGAGAGAAGCTTTGAAACACTCTTTTTCTAGAATCTGCAAGTGAATATTTGGAGGGCTTTGAGGCCTGTGGTGGAAAAGGAATTATCTTCCCGTAAGAACTAGATAGATGCATTCTCAGAAACTACTTTGTGACGATTGCATTCAAGTCACAGAGGTGAACATTCCCTTTCACAGAGCACTTTGGAAACTCTCGTTGTGTAGAATCTGCAAGTGGAGATATGGACCGCTTTGAGGCCTATGGTAGTAAAGGAAACAGCTTCATATAAAAACTAGACAGCCAGCATTCTCAGAAAACTCTTTGTGACGACTGAGTTTAACTCACAGGGCTGAACATTCCTTTGGATGGAGCAGTTTGGAAACACACTATCTGTAGGATCTGCAAGCGGATACTTGGGCCTCTCTGAGGATTTCGTTGGAAACGGGATAAACCGCACAGAACTAAACAGAAGCATTCTCAGAACCTTCTTCGTGATGTTTGCATTCAACCCACATTGTTGAACCTTTCTTTGATAGTTCAGGTTTGAAACACTCTTTTTGTAGAAACTGCAAGTGGATAACTGCACTTCTTTGAGGCCTATCGTAGTAAAGGAAATAACTTCCTATAAAAACAAGACAGAAGCTTTCTCAGAAAATTCTCTGGGATGATTGAGTTGAACTCACAGAGCAGTACTTTCCTTGGGATGGAGTAGTTTCGAAACACACTTTCTGTAGAATCTACAAGTGGATATTTGGACCTGTCAGAGGAATTCGTTGCAAACGGGATAATTTCAGCTAAGTAAACAGAAGCAGTCTCAGAATCTTCTTGTGATGTTTGCATTCAAATCCCAGAATTGAACCTTCCTTTGAAAGTTCAGGTTGGAAACACTCTTTTTGCAGGATCTACAAGTGGATATTCGGACCACTCTGTGGACTTCGATCGAAACGGGTATATCTTCACATAACATCTAGACAGAAGCATTCTCAGAAACTTTTCTGTGATGACTGCATTCAACTCACAGAGTTGAACACTCCTTTTGAGAGCGCAGTTTTGAAACTCTCTTTCTCTGGAATCTGCAAGGGGACATGCAGACCTCTTTGAAGGTTTCGTTGGAAACGGAATCATCTTCACATAAAAATTACACAGAAGCATTCTCAGGAACTCCTTGGTGATGTTTGTATTCAACTTCCAGAGTTGAACTTTCCTTCGGAAAGAGCAGCTATGAAACACCCTTTTTCTAGAATCTGCAAGTGGACATTGGGAGGGCTGTGAGGTTTGTGGTGGAAAAGGAAATATCTCCACATAAATACTAGATAGAAGCCTTCTCAGAAGCTACTTTGTGATGATTGCATTCACCTCACGGAGTGGAGCATTCCTATTGACAGAGCAGTTTGGAAACACTCTTCTTGTAGAATCGGCTAGTGGAGATTTGGAGCGCTTTGAGGCCTATGGTAGTAAAGGGAAGAGCTTCACATAAAATCTAGACAGACGCATTCTCAGAAAATACTTTGTGATGATTGAGTTTAACACACAGAGCTGAACATTCCTTTGGATGGAGAAGGTTTGAAACACACTTTCTGTAGAATCTGCGAGTGGATATTTGGACCTCTCTGAGGATTTCGTTGGAAATGGGATAACTGCACCTAACTAAACGGAAGCATTCTCACAAAATTCTTTGTGATGTTTGCATTCAAATCCCAGAGTTGAACCTTCCTTTGATAGTTCAGCTTTGAAACATTCTTTTTGTAGGTTCTGCAAGTGGATATTTGGACGACTCTTTGGCCTTCGTTCGAAACGGGTACATCTTCAAATGAAATCTAGACAGAAGCCTTCTCAGAAACTTCTCTGTGACGATTGCATTCAACTCAAAGCGTTGAACCCTCCTATGGATAGAGCAGTTTTGAATCTCTCTTTTTGTGGAATCTGCAAGTGGATATGTGGTCCTCTTTGAAGATGTCTTTGGAAACGGGAATATCTTCACATAAAAACTAAACAGAAGCATTCTCAGAAACTTCTCTGTGATGTTTGTGTTCAACTCACAGAGTTTCACGTTGCTTTTCATAGAGCAGATGAGAAACATGCTTTTCGTAAGGTCTGCAAGTGGACATTTGGAGAGATTTCAGGCCTGTGGTGGAAAACGAATTATCGTCACGTAAAAACTAGAGAGAAGCATTGTCAGAAACTTGTTTGTGATGACTGCATTCAACTCACAGAGTTGAAGGTTCCTTTTCAAACAGCAGTTTCCAAACACTCTTTCTGTGGCATCTGCAAGTGGATGTTTGGGCCTCTTTGAAGATTTCGTTGGAAACGGGATAATCTTCACAGAAAAGCTAAACAGAAGCATGCTCAGAAACTTCTTTGTGATGTTTGCTTTCAACTCACAGAGTTGAACTTTCCTTTTGAGAGAGAAGCTTTGAAACACTCTTTTTCTAGAATCTGCAAGTGGATATTTGGAGGGCTTTGAGGCCTGAGGTGGAAAAGGAATTATCTTCTCGTAAGAACTAGATAGATGCATTCTCGGAAACTACTTTGTGACGATTGCATTCAAGTCACAGAGGTGAACATTCCCTTTCAGAGAGCACTTTGGAAACTCTCGTTGTGTAGAATCTGCAAGTGGAGATATGGACCGCTTTGAGGCCTATGGTAGTAAAGGAAACAGCTTCATATAAAAACTAGACAGCAGCATTCTCAGAAAACTCTTTGTGACGACTGAGTTTAACTCACAGGGCTGAACATTCCTTTGGATGGAGCAGTTTGGAAACACACTATCTGTAGGATCTGCAAGCGGATACTTGGGCCTCCCTGAGGATTTCGTTGGAAACGGGATAAACCGCACAGAACTAAACAGAAGCATTCTCAGAACTTTCTTCGTGATGTTTGCATTCAACCCACAGTGTTGAACCTTTCTTTGATAGTTCAGGTTTGAAACACTCTTTTTGTAGAAACTGCAAGTGGATAACTGCACTTCTTTGAGGCCTATCGTAGTAAAGGAAATAACTTCCTATAAAAACAAGACAGAAGCTTTCTCAGAAAATTCTCTGGGATGATTGAGTTGAACTCACAGAGCAGTACTTTCCTTGGGATGGAGTAGTTTCGAAACACACTTTCTGTAGAATCTGCAAGTGGATATTTGGACCTGTCTGAGGAATTCGTTGCAAACGGGATAATTTCAGCTAAGTAAACAGAAGCAGTCTCAGAATCTTCTTGTGATGTTTGCATTCAAATCCCAGAATTGAACCTTCCTTTGAAAGTTCAGGTTGGAAACACTCTTTCTGCAGGATCTACAAGTGGATATTCGGACCACTCTGTGGACTTCGTTCGAAACGGGTATATCTTCACATAACATCTAGACAGAAGCATTCTCAGAAACTTTTCTGTGATGACTGCATTCAACTCACAGAGTTGAACACTCCTTTTGAGAGCGCAGTTTTGAAACTCTCTTTCTCTGGAATCTGCAAGGGGACATGCAGACCTCTTTGAAGGTTTCGTTGGAAACGGAATCATCTTCACATAAAAATTACACAGAAGCATTCTCAGGAACTCCTTGGTGATGTTTGTATTCAACTTCCAGAGTTGAACTTTCCTTCGGAAAGAGCAGCTATGAAACACTCTTTTTCTAGAATCTACAAGTGGACATTGGGAGGGCTGTGAGGTTTGTGGTGGAAAAGGAAATATCTCCACGTAAATACTAGATAGAAGGCTTCTCAGAAACTACGTTGTGATGATTGCATTCACCTCACGGAGTGGAGCATTCCTATTGACAGAGCAGTTTGGAAACAGTCTTGTTGTAGAATCTGCTAGTGGAGATTTGGAGCGCTTTGAGGCCTATGGTAGTAAAGGGAAGAGCTTCACATAAAATCTAGACAGAAACATTCTCAGAAAATACTTTGTGATGATTGAGTTTAACACACAGAGCTGAACATTCCTTTGGATGGAGAAGGTTTGAACCACACTTTCTGTAGAATCTGCGAGTGGATATTTGGACCTCTCTGAGGATTTCGTTGGAAACCGGATAACTGCACCTAACTAAACGGAAGCATTCTCACAAAATTCTTTGTGATGTTTGCATTCAAATCCCAGAGTTGAAACTTCCTTTGATAGTTCAGCTTTGAAACACTCTTTTTGTAGGATCTACAGGTGGATATTTGGACCACTCTTTGGCCTTCGTTCGAAAAGGGTACATCTTCAAATAAAATCTAGACAGAAGCCTTCTCAGAAACTTCTCTGTGACGATTGCATTCAACTCAAAGCGTTGAACCCTCCTATGGATAGAGCAGTTTTGAATCTCTCTTTTTGTGGCATCTGCAAGTGGATGTTTGGGCCTCTTTGAAGATTTCGTTGGAAACGGGATAATCTTCACAGAAAAGCTAAACAGAAGCATTCTCAGAAACTTCTCTGTGATGTTTGTGTTCAACTCTCAGAGTTTCACGTTGCTTTTCATAGAGCAGATGAGAAACATGCTTTTCGTAGGGTCTGCAAGTGGACATTTGGAGAGCTTTCAGGCCTTTGGTGGAAAACGAATTATCGTCACGTAAAAACTAGAGAGAAGCATTGTCAGAAACTTGTTTGTGATGACTGCATTCAACTCACAGAGTTGAAGGTTCCTTTTCAAACAGCAGTTTCCAAACACTCTTTCTGTGGCATCTGCAAGTGGATGTTTGGGCCTCTTTGAAGATTTCGTTGGAAACGGGATAATCTTCACAGAAAAGCTAAACAGAAGCATTATCAGAAACTTCTTTGTGATGTTTGCTTTCAACTCACAGAGTTGAACTTTCCTTTTGAGAGAGAAGCTTTGAAACACTCTTTTTCTAAAATCTGCAAGTGGATATTTGGAGGGCTTTGAGGCCTGAGGTGGAAAAGGAATTATCTTCCCGTAAGAACTAGATAGATGCATTCTCAGAAACTACTTTGTGACGATTGCATTCAAGTCACAGAGGTGAACATTCCCTTTCACAGAGCACTTTGGAAACTCTCGTTGTGTAGAATCTGCAAGTGGAGATATGGACCGCTTTGAGGCCTATGGTAGTAAAGGAAACAGCTTCATATAAAACCTAGACAGCAGCATTCTCAGAAAACTCTTTGTGACGACTGAGTTTAACTCACAGGGCTGAACATTCCTTTGGATGGAGCAGTTTGGAAACACACTATCTGTAAGATCTGCAAGCGGATACTTGGGCCTCTCTGAGGATTTCGTTGGAAATGGGATAAACCGCACAGAACTAAACAGAAGCATTCTCAGAACCTTCTTCGTGACGTTTGCATTCAACCCACAGTGTTGAACCTTTCTTTGATAGTTCAGGTTTGAAACACTCTTTTTGTAGAAACTGCAAGTGGATAACTGCACTTCTTTGAGGCCTATCGTAGTAAAGGAAATAACTTCCTATAAAAACAAGACAGAAGCTTTCTCAGAAAATTCTCTGGGATGATTGAGTTGAACTCACAGAGCAGTACTTTCCTTGGGATGGAGTAGTTTCGAAACACACTTTCTGTAGAATCTGCAAGTGGATATTTGGACCTGTCTGAGGAATTCGTTGCAAACGGGATAATTTCAGCTAAGTAAACAGAAGCAGTCTCAGAATCTTCTTGTGATGGTTGCATTGAAATCCCAGAATTGAACCTTCCTTTGAAAGTTCAGGTTGGAAACACTCTTTTTGCAGGATCTACAAGTGGATATTCGGACCACACTGTGGACTTCGTTCGAAACGGGTATATCTTCACATAACATCTAGACAGAAGCATTTTCAGAAACTTTTCTGTGATGACTGCATTCAACTCACAGAGTTGAACACTCCTTTTGAGAGCGCAGTTTTGAAACTCTCTTTCTCTGGAATCTGCAAGGGGACATGCAGACCTCTCTGAAGGTTTCGTTGGAAACGGAATCATCTTCACATAAAAATTACACAGAAGCATCCTCAGGAACTCCTTGGTGATGTTTGTATTCAACTTCCAGAGTTGAACTTTCCTTCGGAAAGAGCAGCTATGAAACACTCTTTTTCTAGAATCTGCAAGTGGACATTGGGAGGGCTGTGAGGTTTGTGGTGGAAAAGGAAATATCTCCACATAAATACTAGATAGAAGCCTTCTCAGAAACTACTTTGTGATGATTGCATTCACCTCACGGATTGGAGCATTCCTATTGACAGAGCAGTTTGGAAACACTCTTCTTGTAGAATCGGCTAGTGGAGATTTGGAGCGCTTTGAGGCCTATGGTAGTAAAGGGAAGAGCTTCACATAAAATCTAGACAGAAGCATTCTCAGAAAATACTTTGTGATGATTGAGTTTAACACACAGAGCTGAACATTCCTTTGGATGGAGAAGGTTTGAAACACACTTTCTGTAGAATCTGCGAGTGGATATTTGGACCTCTCTGAGGATTTCGTTGGAAACGGGATAACTGCACCTAACTAAACGGAAGCATTCTCACAAAATTCTTCGTGATGTTTGCTTTCAAATCCCAGAGTTGAACCTTCCTTTGATAGTTCAGCTTTGAAACACTCTTTTTGTAGGATCTGCAAGTGGATATTTGGACCACTCTTTGGCCTTCCTTCGAAACGGGTACATCTTCATATAAAATCTAGACAGAAGCCTTCTCAGAAACTTCTCTGTGACGATTGCATTCAACTCAAAGAGTTGAACCCTCCTATGGATAGAGCAGTTTTGAATCTCTCTTTTTGTGGAATCTGCAAGTGGATATGTGGTCCTCTTTGAAGATGTCTTTGGAAACGGGAATATCTTCACATTAAAACTAAACAGAAGCATTCTCAGAAACTTCTCTGTCATGTTTGTGTTCAACTCACAGAGTTTCACGTTGCTTTTCATAGAGCAGAGGAGAAACATGCTTTTTGTAGGGTCTGCAAGTGGACGTTTGGAGAGATTTCAGGCCTGTGGTGGAAAACGAATTATCGTCACGTAAAAACTAGAGAGAAGCATTGTCAGAAACTTGTTTGTGATGACTGCATTCAACTCACAGAGTTGAAGGTTCCTTTTCAAACAGCAGTTTCCAAACACTCTTTCTGTGGCATCTGCAAGTGGATGTTTGGGCCTCTTTGAAGATTTCGTTGGAAACGGGATAATCTTCACAGAAAAGCTAAACAGAAGCATTCTCAGAAACTTCTTTGTGATGTTTGCTTTCAACTCACAGAGTTGAACTTTCCTTTTGAGAGAGAAGCTTTGAAACACTCTTTTTCTACAATCTGCAAGTGGATATTTGGAGGGCTTTGAGGCCTGTGGTGGAAAAGGAATTATCTTCCCGTAAGAACTAGATGGATGCATTCTCAGAAACTACTTTGTGACGATTGCATTCAAGTCACAGAGGTGAACATTCCCTTTCAGAGAGCACTTTGGAAACCCCCGTTGTGTAGAATCTGCAAGTGGAGATATGGACCGCTTTGAGGCCTATGGTAGTAAAGGAAACAGCTTCATATAAAAACTAGACAGCAGCATTCTCAGAAAACTCTTTGTGACGACTGAGTTTAACTCACAGGGCTGAACATTCCTTTGGATGGAGCAGTTTGGAAACACACTATCTGTAGGATCTGCAAGCGGATACTTGGGCCTCCCTGAGGATTTCGTTGGAAACGGGATAAACCGCACAGAACTAAACAGAAGCATTCTCAGAACCTTCTTCGTGATGTTTGCCTTCAACCCACAGTGTTGAACCTTTCTTTGATAGTTCAGGTTTGAAACATTCTTTTTGTAGAAACTGCAAGTGGATAACTGCACTTCTTTGAGGCCTATCGTAGTAAAGGAAATAACTTCCTATAAAAACAAGACAGAAGCTTTCTCAGAAAATTCTCTGGGATGATTGACTTGAACTCACAGAGCAGTACTTTCCTTGGGATGGAGTAGTTTCGAAACACACTTTCTGTAGAATCTGCAAGTGGATATTTGAACCTGTCTGAGGAATTCGTTGCAAACGGGATAATTTCAGCTAAGTAAACAGAAGCAGTCTCAGAATCTTCTTGTGATGTTTGCATTCAAATCCCAGAATTGAACCTTCCTTTGAAAGTTCAGGTTGGAAACACTCTTTTTGCAGGATCTACAAGTGGATATTCGGACCACTCTGTGGACTTCGTTCGAAACGGGTATATCTTCACATAACATCTAGACAGAAGCATTCTCAGAAACTTTTCTGTGATGACTGCATTCAACTCACAGAGTTGAACACTCCTTTTGAGAGCGCAGTTTTGAAACTCTCTTTCTCTGGAATCTGCAAGGGGACATGCAGACCTCTTTGAAGGTTTCGTTGGAAACGGAATCATCTTCACATAAAAATTACACAGAAGCATTCTCAGGAACTCCTTGGTGATGTTTGTATTCAACTTCCAGAGTTGAACTTTGCTTCGGAAAGAGCAGCTATGAAACACTCTTTTTCCAGAATCTGCAAGTGGACATTGGGAGGGCTGTGAGGTTTGTGGTGGAAAAGGAAATATCTCCACATAAATACTAGATAGAAGCCTTCTCAGAAACTTCTTGGTGATGATTGCATTCACCTCACGCAGTGGAGCATTCTTATTGACAGAGCAGTTTGGAAACCCTCTTGTTGTAGAAGCTGCTAGTGGAGATTTGGACCGCTTTGAGGCCTATGGTAGTAAAGGGAAGAGCTTCACATAAAATCTAGACAGAAGCATTCTCAGAAAATACTTTGTGATGATTGAGTTTAACACACAGAGCTGAACATTACTTTGGATGGAGCAGGTTTGAAACACACTTTCTATAGAATCTGCGAGTGGATATTTGGACCTCTCTGAGGATTTCGTTGGAAACGGGATAACTGCACCTAACTAAACGGAAGCATTCTCACAAAATTCTTTGTGATGTTTGCATTCAAATCCCAGAGTTGAACCTTCCTTTGATAGTTCAGCTTTGAAACACTCTTTTTGTAGGATCTGCAGGTGGATATTTGGACCACTCTTTGGCCTTCGTTCGAAACGGGTACATCTTCAAATAAAATCTAGACAGAAGCCTTCTCAGAAACTTCTCTGTGACGATTGCATTCAACTCAAAGCGTTGAACCCTCCTATGGATAGAGCAGTTTTGAATCTCTCTTTTTGTGGAATCTGCAAGTGGATATGTGGTCCTCTTTGAAGATGTCTTTGGAAACGGGAATATCTTCACATAAAAACTAAACAGAAGCATTCTCAGAAAGTTCTCTGTGATGTTTGTGTTCAACTCACAGAGTTTCACGTTGCTTTTCATAGAGCAGATGAGAAACATGCTTTTCGTAGGGTCTGCAAGTGGACATTTGGAGAGATTTCAGGCCTGTGGTGGAAAACGAATTATCGTCACGTAAAAACTAGAGAGAAGCATTGTCAGAAACTTGTTTGTGATGACTGCATTCAACTCACAGAGTTGAAGGTTCCTTTTCAAACAGCAGTTTCCAAACACTCTTTCTGTGGCATCTGCAAGTGGATGTTTGGGCCTCTTTGAAGATTTCGTTGGAAACGGGATAATCTTCACAGAAAAGCTAAACAGAAGCATGCTCAGAAACTTCTTTGTGATGTTTGCTTTCAACTCACAGAGTTGAACTTTCCTTTTGAGAGAGAAGCTTTGAAACACTCTTTTTCTAGAATCTGCAAGTGGATATTTGGAGGGCTTTGAGGCCTGAGGTGGAACAGGAATTATCTTCCCGTAAGAACTAGATAGATGCATTCTCAGAAACTACTTTGTGACGAATGCATTCAAGTCACAGAGGTGAACATTCCCTTTCAGAGAGCACTTTGGAAACTCTCGTTGTGTAGAATCTGCAAGTGGAGATATGCACCGCTTTGAGGCCTATGGTAGTAAAGGAAACAGCTTCATATAAAAACTAGACAGCAGCATTCTCAGAAAACTCTTTGTGACGACTGAGTTTAACTCACAGGGCTGAACATTCCTTTGGATGGAGCAGTTTGGAAACACACTATCTGTAGGATCTGCAAGCGGATACTTGGGCCTCTCTGAGGATTTCGTTGGAAACGGGATAAACCGCACAGAACTAAACAGAAGCATTCTCAGAACCTTCTTCGTGATGTTTGCATTCAACCCACAGTGTTGAACCTTTCTTTGATAGTTCAGGTTTCAAACACTCTTTTTGTAGAAACTGCAATTGGATAACTGCACTTCTTTGAGGCCTATCGTAGTAAAGGAAATAACTTCCTATAAAAACAAGACAGAAGCTTTCTCAGAAAATTCTCTGGGATGATTGAGTTGAACTCACAGAGCAGTACTTTCCTTGGGATGGAGTAGTTTCGAAACACACTTTCTGTAGAATCTGCAAGTGGATATTTGGACCTGTCTGAGGAATTCGTTGCAAACGGGATAATTTCAGCTAAGTAAACAGAAGCAGTCTCAGAATCTTCTTGTGATGTTTGCATTCAAATCCCAGAATTGAACCTTCCTTTGAAAGTTCAGGTTGGAAACACTCTTTTTGCAGGATCTACAAGTGGATATTCGGACCACTCTGTGGACATCGTTCGAAACGGGTATATCTTCACATAACATCTAGACAGAAGCATTCTCAGAAACTTTTCTGTGATGACTGCATTCAACTCAGAGAGTTGAACACTCCTTTTGAGAGCGCAGTTTTGAAACTCTCTTTCTCTGGAATCTGCAAGGGGACATGCAGACCTCTTTGAAGGTTTCGTTGGAAACGGAATCATCTTCACATAAAAATTACACAGAAGCATCCTCAGGAACTCTTTGGTGATGTTTGTATTCAACTTCCAGAGTTGAACTTTCCTTCGGAAAGAGCAGCTATGAAACACTCTTTTTCTAGAATCTGCAAGTGGACATTGGGAGGGCTGTGAGGTTTGTGGTTGAAAAGGAAATATCTCCACATAAATACTAGATAGAAGCCTTCTCAGAAACTACTTTGTGATGACTGCATTCACCTCACGGAGTGGAGCATTCCTATTGACAGAGCAGTTTGGAAACACTCTTCTTGTAGAATCGGCTAGTGGAGATTTGGAGCGCTTTGAGGCCTATGGTAGTAAAGGGAAGAGCTTCACATAAAATCTAGACAGAAGCATTCTCAGAAAATTCTTTGTGATGATTGTGTTTAACACATAGAGCTGAACATTCCTTTGGAGGGAGAAGGTTTGAAACACACTTTCTGTAGAATCTGCGAGTGGATATTTGGACCTCTCTGAGGATTTCGTTGGAAACGGGATAACTGCACCTAACTAAACGGAAGCATTCTCACAAAATTCTTTGTGATGTTTGCATTCAAATCCCAGAGTTGAACCTTCCTTTGATAGTTCAGCTTTGAAACACTCTTTTTGTAGGATCTGCAGGTGGATATTTGGCCTACTCTTTGGCCTTCGTTCGAAACGGGTACATCTTCAAATAAAATCTAGACAGAAGCCTTCTCAGAAACTTCTCTGTGATGATTGCATTCAACTCAAAGCGTTGAACCCTCCTATGGATAGAGCAGTTTTGAATCTCTCTTTTTGTGGAATCTGCAAGTGGATATGTGGTCCTCTTTGAAGATGTCTTTGGAAACGGGAATATGTTCACATAAAAACTAAACAGAAGCATTCTCAGAAACTTCTCTGTGATGTTTGTGTTCAACTCACAGAGTTTCACGTTGCTTTTCATAGAGCAGATGAGAAACATGCTTTTCGTAGGGTCTGCAAGTGGACATTTGGAGAGATTTCAGGCCTGTGGTGGAAAACGAATTATCGTCACGTAAAAACTAGAGAGAAGCATTGTCAGAAACTTGTTTGTGATGACTGCATTCAACTCACAGAGTTGAAGGTTCCTTTTCAAACAGCAGTTTCCAAACACTCTTTCTGTGGCATCTGCAAGTGGATGTTTGGGCCTCTTTGAAGATTTCGTTGGAAACGGGATAATCTTCACAGAAAAGCTAAACAGAAGCATTCTCAGAAACTTCTTTGTGATGTTTGATTTCAACTCACAGAGTTGAACTTTCCTTTTGAGAGAGAAGCTTTGAAACACTCTTTTTCTAGAATCTGCAAGTGGATATTTGGAGGGCTTTGAGGCCTGAGGTGGAAAAGGAATTATCTTCCCGTAAGAACTAGATAGATGCATTCTCAGAAACTACTTTGTGACGATTGCATTCAAGTCACAGAGGTGAACATTCCCTTTCAGAGAGCACTTTGGAAACTCTCGTTGTGTAGAATCTGCAAGTGGAGATATGGACCGCTTTGAGGCCTATGGTAGTAAAGGAAACAGCTTCATATAAAAACTAGACAGCATTCTCAGAAAACTCTTTGTGACGACTGAGTTTAACTCACAGGGCTGAACATTCCTTTGGATGGAGCAGTTTGGAAACACACTATCTGTAGGATCTGCAAGCGGATACTTGGGCCTCTCTGAGGATTGCGTTGGAAACGGGATAAACCGCACAGAACGAAACAGAAGCATTCTCAGAACCTTCTTCGTGATGTTTGCATTCAACCCACAGTGTTGAACCTTTCTTTGATAGTTCAGGTTTGAAACACTCTTTTTGTAGAAACTGCAAGTGGATAACTGCACTTCTTTGAGGCCTATCGTAGTAAAGGAAATAACTTCCTATAAAAACAAGACAGAAGCTTTCTCAGAAAATTCTCTGGGATGATTGAGTTGAACTCACAGTGCAGTACTTTCCTTGGGATGGAGTAGTTTCGAAACACACTTTCTGTAGAATCTGCAAGTGGATATTTGGACCTGTCTGAGGAATTCGTTGCAAACGGGATAATTTCAGCTAAGTAAACAGAAGCAGTCTCAGAATCTTCTTGTGATGTTTGCATTCAAATCCCAGAATTGAACCTTCCTTTGAAAGTTCAGGTTGGAAACACTCTTTTTGCAGGATCTACAAGTGGATATTCGGACCACTCTGTGGACTTCGTTCGAAACGGGTATATCTTCACATAACATCTAGACAGAAGCATTCTCAGAAACTTTTCTGTGATGACTGCATTCAACTCACAGAGTTGAACACTCCTTTTGAGAGCGCAGTTTTGAAACTCTCTTTCTCTGGAATCTGCAAGGGGACATGCAGACCTCTTTGAAGGTTTCGTTGGAAAGGGAATCATCTTCACATAAAAATTACACAGAAGCATCCTCAGGAACTCCTTGGTGATGTTTGTATTCAACTTCCAGAGTTGAACTTTCCTTCGGAAAGAACAGCTATGAAACACTCTTTTTCTAGAATTTGCAAGTGGACATTGGGAGGGCTGTGAGGTTTGTGGTGGAAAAGGAAATATCTCCACATAAATACTAGATAGAAGCCTTCTCAGAAACTACTTTGTGATGATTGCATTCACCTCACGGAGTGGAGCACTCCTATTGACAGAGCAGTTTGTAAACACTCTTCTTGTAGAATCGGCTAGTGGAGATTTGGAGCGCTTTGAGTCCTATGGTAGTAAAGGGAAGAGCTTCACATAAAATCTAGACAGAAGCATTCTCAGAAAATACTTTGTGATGATTGAGTTTAACACACAGAGCTGAACATTCCTTTGGATGGAGAAGGTTTGAAACACACTTTCTGTAGAATCTGCGAGTGGATATTTGGACCTCTCTGAGGATTTCGTTGGAAACGGGATAACTGCACCTAACTAAACGGAAGCATTCTCACAAAATTCTTTGTGATGTTTGCATTCAAATCCCAGAGTTGAACCTTCCTTTGATAGTTCAGCTTTGAAACACTCTTTTTGTAGGCTCTGCAGGTGGATATTTGGACCACTCTTTGGCCTTCGTTCAAAACGGGTACATCTTCAAATAAAATCTAGACAGAAGCCTTCTCAGAAACTTCTCTGTGACGATTGCATTCAACTCAGAGAGTTGAACCCTCCTATGGATAGAGCAGTTTTGAATCTCTCTTTTTGTGGAATCTGCAAGTGGATATGTGGTCCTCTTTGAAGATGTCTTTGGAAACGGGAATATCTTCACATAAAAACTAAACGGAAGCATTCTCAGAAACTTCTCTGTGATGTTTGTGTTCAACTCACAGAGTTTCACGTTGCTTTTCATAGAGCAGATGAGAAACATGCTTTTCGTAGTGTCTGCAAGTGGACATTTGGAGAGCTTTCAGGCCTGTGGTGGAAAACGAATTATCGTCACGTAAAAACTAGAGAGAAGCATTGTCAGAAACTTGTTTGTGATGACTGCATTCAACTCACAGAGTTGAAGGTTCCTTTTCAAACAGCAGTTTCCAAACACTCTTTCTGTGGCATCTGCAAGTGGATGTTTGGGCCTCTTTGAAGATTTCGTTGGAAACGGGATAATCTTCACAGAAAAGCTAAACAGAAGCATTCTCAGAAACTTCTTTGTGATGTTTGCTTTCAACTCACAGAGTTGAACTTTCCTTTTGAGAGAGAAGCTTTGAAACACTCTTTTTCTAGAATCTGCAAGTGGATATTTGGAGGGCTTTGAGGCCTGTGGTGGAAAAGGAATTATCTTCCCGTAAGAACTAGATAGATGCATTCTCAGAAACTACTTTGTGACGATTGCATTCAAGTCACAGAGGTGAACATTTCCTTTCAGAGAGCACTTTGGAAACTCTCGTTTTGTAGAATCTGCAAGTGCAGATATGGACCGCTTTGAGGCCTATGGTAGTAAAGGAAACAGCTTCATATAAAAACTAGACAGCAGCATTCTCAGAAAACTCTTTGTGACGACTGAGTTTAACTCACAGGGCTGAACATTCCTTTGGATGGAGCAGTTTGGAAACACACTATCTGTAGGATCTGCAAGCGGATACTTGGGCCTACCCTGAGGATTTCGTTGGAAACGGGATAAACCGCACAGAACTAAACAGAAGCATTCTCAGAACCTTCTTCGTGATGTTTGCATTCAACCCACAGTGTTGAACCTTTCTTTGATAGTTCAGGTTTGAAACACTCTTTTTGTAGAAACTGCAAGTGGATAACTGCACTTCTTTGAGGCCTATCGTAGTAAAGGAAATAACTTCCTATAAAAACAAGACAGAAGCTTTCTCAGAAAATTCTCTGGGATGATTGAGTAGAACTCACAGAGCACTACTTTCCTTGGGATGGAGTAGTTTCGAAACACACTTTCTGTAGAATCTGCAAGTGGATATTTGGACCTGTCTGAGGAATTCGTTGCAAACGGGATAATTTCAGCTAAGTAAACAGAAGCAGTCTCAGAATCTTCTTGTGATGTTTGCATTCAAATCCCAGAATTGAACCTTCCTTTGAAAGTTCAGGTTGGAAACACTCTTTTTGCAGGATCTACAAGTAGATATTCGGACCACTCTGTGGACTTCGTTCGAAACGGGTATATCTTCACATAACATCTAGACAGAAGCATTCTCAGAAACTTTTCTGTGATGACTGCATTCAACTCACAGAGTTGAACACTCCTTTTGAGAGCGCAGTTTTGAAACTCTCTTTCTCTGGAATCTGCAAGGGGACATGCAGACCTCTTTGAAGGTTTCGTTGGAAACGGAATCATCTTCACATAAAAATTACACAGAAGCATTCTCAGGAACTCCTTGGTGATGTTTGTATTCAACTTCCAGAGTTGAACTTTCCTTCGGAAAGAGCAGCTATGAAACACTCTTTTTCTAGAATCTGCAAGTGGAGATTGGGAGGGCTGTGAGGATTGTGGTGGAAAAGGAAATATCTCCACGTAAATACTAGATAGAAGCCTTCTCAGAAACTACTTTGTGATGATTGCATTCACCTCACGGAGTGGAGCATTCCTATTGACAGAGCAGTTTGGAAACACTCTTGTTGTAGAATCTGCTAGTGGAGATTTGGAGCGCTTTGAGGCCTATGGTAGTAAAGGGAAGAGCTTCACATAAAATCTAGACAGAAGCATTCTCAGAAAATACTTTGTGATGATTGAGTTTAACACACAGAGCTGAACATTCCTTTGGATGGAGAAGGTTTGAAACACACTTTCTATAGAATCTGCGAGTGGATATTTGGACCTCTCTGAGGATTTCGTTGGAAACGGGATAACTGCACCTAACTAAACGGAAGCATTCTCACAAAATTCTTTGTGATGTTTGCATTCAAATCCCAGAGTTGAACCTTCCTTTGATAGTTCAGCTTTGAAACACTCTTTTTGTAGGATCTGCAGGTGGATATTTGGACCACTCTTTGGCCTTCGTTCGAAAAGGGTACATCTTCAAATTTAATCTAGACAGAAGCCTTCTCAGAAACTTCTCTGTGACGATTGCATTCAACCCAAAGAGTTGAACCCTCCTATGGATAGAGCAGTTTTGAATCTCTCTTTTTGTGGAATCTGCAAGTGGATATGTGGTCCTCTTTGAAGATGTCTTTGGAAACGGGAATATCTTCACATAAAAACTAAACAGAAGCATTCTCAGAAACTTCTCTGTGATGTTTGTGTTCAACTCACAGAGTTTCACGTTGCTTTTCATAGAGCAGATGAGAAACATGCTTTTCGTAGGGTCTGCAAGTGGACATTTGGAGAGCTTTCAGGCCTGTGGTGGAAAACGAATTATCGTCACGTAAAAACTAGAGAGAAGCATTGTCAGAAACTTGTTTGTGATGACTGCATTCAACTCACAGAGTTGAAGGTTCCTTTTCAAACAGCAGTTTCCAAACACTCTTTCTGTGGCATCTGCAAGTGGATGTTTGGGCCTCTTTGAAGATTTCGTTGGAAACGGGATAATCTTCACAGAAAAGCTAAACAGAAAGCATGCTCAGAAACTTCTTTGTGATGTTTGCTTTCAACTCACAGAGTTGAACTTTCCTTTTGAGAGAGAAGCTTTGAAACACTCTTTTTCTAGAATCTGCAAGTGGATATTTGGAGGGCATTGAGGCCTGAGGTGGAACAGGAATTATCTTCCCGTAAGAACTAGATAGATGCATTCTCAGAAACTACTTTGTGACGATTGCATTCAAGTCACAGAGGTGAACATTCCCTTTCAGAGAGCACTTTGGAAACTCTCGTTGTGTAGAATCTGCAAGTGGAGATATGGACCGCTTTGAGGCCTATGGTAGTAAAGGAAACAGCTTCGTATAAAAACTAGACAGCAGCATTCTCAGAAAACTCTTTGTGACGACTGAGTTTAACTCACAGGGCTGAACATTCCTTTGGATGGAGCAGTTTGGAAACACACTATCTGTAGGATCTGCAAGCGGATACTTGGGCCTCCCTGAGGATTTCGTTGGAAACGGGATAAACCGCACAGAACTAAACAGAAGCATTCTCAGAACCTTCTTCGTGATGTTTGCATTCAACCCACAGTGTTGAACCTTTCTTTGATAGTTCAGGTTTGAAACACTCTTTTTGTAGAAACTGCAGGTGGATAACTGCACTTCTTTGAGGCCTATCGTAGTAAAGGAAATAACTTCCTATAAAAACAAGACAGAAGCTTTCTCAGAAAATTCTCTGGGATGATTGAGTTGAACTCACAGAGCAGTACTTTCCTTGGGATGGAGTAGTTTCGAAACACACTTTCTGTAGAATCTGCAAGTGGATATTCGGACCTGTCTGAGGAATTCGTTGCAAACGGGATAATTTCAGCTAAGTAAACAGAAGCAGTCTCAGAATCTTCTTGTGATGTTTGCATTCAAATCCCAGAATTGAACCTTCCTTTGAAAGTTCAGGTTTGAAACACTCTTTTTGCAGGATCTACAAGTGGATATTCGGACCACTCTGTGGACTTCGTTCGAAACGGGTATATCTTCACATAACATCTAGACAGAAGCATTCTCAGAAACTTTTCTGTGATGACTGCATTCAACTCACAGAGTTGAACACTCCTTTTGAGAGCGCAGTTTGGAAACTCTCTTTCTCTGGAATCTGCAAGGGGACATGCAGACCTCTTTGAAGGTTTCGTTGGAAACGGAATCATCTTCACATAAAAATTACACAGAAGCATTCTCAGGAACTCCTTGGTGATGTTTGTATTCAACTTCCAGAGTTGAACTTTCCTTCGGAAAGAGCAGCTATGAAACACTCTTTTTCTAGAATCTGCAAGTGGACATTGGGAGGGCTGTGAGGTTTGTGGTGGAAAAGGAAATATCTCCACATAAATACTAGATAGAAGCCTTCTCAGAAACTACTTTGTGATGATTGCATTCACCTCACGGAGTGGAGCATTCCTATTGACAGAGCAGTTTGGAAACACTCTTCTTGTAGAATCGGCTAGTGGAGATTTGGAGCGCTTTGAGGCCTATGGTAGTAAAGGGAAGAGCTTCACATAAAATCTAGACAGAAGCATTCTCAGAAAATACTTTGTGATGATTGAGTTTAACACACAGAGCTGAACATTCCTTTGGATGGAGAAGGTTTGAAACACACTTTCTGTAGAATCTGCGAGTGGATATTTGGACCTCTCTGAGGATTTCGTTGGAAACGGGATAACTGCACCTAACTAAACGAAAGCATTCTCAGAAACTTCTTGGTGATGTTTGCATTCAAATCCCAGAGTTGAACCTTCCTTTGATAGTTCAGGTTTGAAACACTCTTTTTGTAGGATCTGCAAGTGGCTATTTGGACCACTCTGTGGCCTTCGTTCGAAACGGTTATATCTTCGCATAAAATCTAGACAGAAGCTTCTCAGAAACTTCTCTGTGACGATTGCATTCAACTCAAAGCGTTGAACCCTCCTATGGATAGAGCAGTTTTGAATCTCTCTTTTTGTGGAATCTGCAAGTGGATATGTGGTCCTCTTTGAAGATGTCTTTGGAAACGGGAATATCTTCACATAAAAACTAAACAGAAGCATTCTCAGAAACTTCTCTGTGATGTTTGTGTTCAACTCACAGAGCTTCACGTTGCTTTTCATAGAGCAGATGAGAAACATGCTTTTCATAGGGTCTGCAAGTGGACATTTGGAGAGCTTTCAGGCCTGTGGTGGAAAACGAATTATCGTCACGTAAAAACTAGAGAGAAGCATTGTCAGAAACTTGTTTGTGATGACTGCATTCAACTCACAGAGTTGAAGGTTCCTTTTCAAACAGCAGTTTCCAAACACTCTTTCTGTGGCATCTGCAAGTGGATGTTTGGGCCTCTTTGAAGATTTCGTTGGAAACGGGATAATCTTCACAGAAAAGCTAAACAGAAGCATTCTCAGAAACTTCTTTGTGATGTTTGCTTTCAACTCACAGAGTTGAACTTTCCTTTTGAGAGAGAAGCTTTGAAACACTCTTTTTCTAGAATCTGCAAGTGGATATTTGGAGGGCTTGGAGGCCTGTGGTGGAAAAGGAATTATCTTCCCATAAGAACTAGATAGATGCATTCTCAGAAACTACTTTGTGACGATTGCATTC
Organism: Homo sapiens; assembly: GCF_000001405.40. NCBI lineage: Eukaryota > Metazoa > Chordata > Mammalia > Primates > Hominidae > Homo > Homo sapiens. Next base: position 23,191,216 of record NC_000017.11, read on the forward strand.
AAGACACAGAGTTGAACATTCCCTTTCAGAGAGCACTTTGGAAACTCTCGTTGTGTAGAATCTGCAAGTGGAGATATGGACCGCTTTGAGGCCTATGGTAGTAAAGGAAACAGCTTCATATAAAAACTAGACAGCAGCATTCTCAGAAAACTCTTTGTGACGACTGAGTTTAACTCACAGGGCTGAACATTCCTTTGGATGGAGCAGTTTGGAAACACACTATCTGTAGGATCCGCAAGCGGATACTTGGGCCTCCCTGAGGATTTCGTTGGAAACGGGATAAACCGCACAGAACTAAACAGAAGCATTCTCAGAACCTTCTTCGTGATGTTTGCATTCAACCCACAGTGTTGAACCTTTCTTTGATAGTTCAGGTTTGAAACACTCTTTTTGTAGAAACTGCAAGTGGATAACTGCACTTCTTTGAGGCCTATCGTAGTAAAGGAAATAACTTCCTATAAAAACAAGACAGAAGCTTTCTCAGAAAATTCTCTGGGATGATTGAGTTGAACTCACAGAGCAGTACTTTCTTTGGGATGGAGTACTTTCGAAACACACTTTCTGTACAATCTGCAAGTGGATATTTGGACCTGTCTGAGGAATTCGTTGCAAACGGGATAATTTCAGCTAAGTAAACAGAAGCAGTCTCAGAATCTTCTTGTGATGTTTGCATTGAAATCCCAGAATTGAACCTTCCTTTGAAAGTTCAGGTTGGAAACACTCTTTTTGCAGGATCTACAAGTGGATATTCGGACCACTCTGTGGACTTCGTTCGAAACGGGTATACCTTCACATAACATCTAGACAGAAGCATTCTCAGAAACTTTTCTGTGATGACTGCATTCAACTCACAGAGTTGAACACTCCTTTTGAGAGCGCAGTTTTGAAACTCTCTTTCTCTGGAATCTGCAAGGGGACATGCAGACCTCTTTGAAGGGTTTCGTTGGAAACGGAATCATCTTCACATAAAAATTACACAGAAGCTTTCTGAGAAACTTTTTGTGATGTATGCATTCATCACAGAGATTTGAACATTTATTTTCATGGAGCAGTTTGGAAACAGTCTTTTTGCAGAATCTGCAAAGGGAAATATGTAGGCAGTTTGAGGCCTATGGTGGAAAAGGAAATATCTTCATATAAGAACTACACAGAAGCCTTCTCAGAAACTACGTTGTGATGATTGCATTCACCTCACGGAGTGGAGCATTCCTATTGACAGAGCAGTTTGGAAACACCCTTGTTGTAGAATCTGCTAGTGGAGATTTGGAGCGCTTTGAGGCCTATGGTAGTAAATGGAAGAGCTTCACATAAAATCTAGACAGAAGCATTCTCAGAAAATACTTTGTGATGATTGAGTTTAACACACAGAGCTGAACATTCCTTTGGATGGAGAAGGTTTGAAACACACTTTCTGTAGAATCTGCGAGTGGATATTTGGACCTCTCTGAGGATTTCGTTGGAAACGGGATAACTGCACCTAACTAAACGGAAGCATTCTCACAAAATTCTTTGTGATATTTGCATTCAAATCCCAGAGTTGAACCTTCCTTTGATAGTTCAGCTTTGGAACACTCTTTTTGTAGGATCTGCAGGTGGATATTTGGACCACTCTTTGGCCTTCGTTCAAAACGGGTACATCTTCAAATAAAATCTAGACAGAAGCCTTCTCAGAAACTTCTCTGTGATGATTCCATTCAACTCAAAGCGTTGAACCCTCCTATGGATAGAGCAGTTTTGAATCTCTCTTTTTGTGGAATCTGCAACTGGATATGTGGTCCTGTTTGAAGATGTCTTTGGAAACGGGAATATCTTCACATAAAAACTAAACGGAAGCATTCTCAGAAACTTCTCTGTGATGTTTGTGTCCAAATCACAGAGTTTCACGTTGCTTTTCATAGAGCAGATGAGAAACATGCTTTTCGTAGGGTCTGCAAGTGGACATTTGGAGAGATTTCAGGCCTGTGGTGGAAAACGAATTATCGTCACGTAAAAACTAGAGAGAAGCATTGTCAGAAACTTGTTTGTGATGACTGCATTCAACTCACAGAGTTGGAGGTTCCTTTTCAAACAGCAGTTTCCAAACACTCTTTCGGTGGCATCTGCAAGTGGATGTTTGGGCCTCTTTGAAGATTTCGTTGGAAACGGGATAATCTTCACAGAAAAGCTAAACAGAAGCATGCTCAAGAAACTTCTTTGTGATGTTTGCTTTCAACTCACAGAGTTGAACTTTCCTTTTGAGAGAGAAGCTTTGAAACACTCTTTTTCTAGAATCTGCAAGTGGATATTTGGAGGGCTTTGAGGCCTGAGGTGGAACAGGAATTATCTTCCCGTAAGAACTAGATAGATGCATTCTCAGAAACTACTTTGTGACGATTGCATTCAAGTCACGGAGGTGAACATTCCCTTTCAGAGAGCACTTTGGAAACTCTCGTTGTGTAGAATCTGCAAGTGGAGATATGGACCGCTTTGAGGCCTATGGTAGTAAAGGAAACAACTTCATATAAAAACTAGACAGCAGCATTCTCAGAAAACTCTTTGTGACGACTGAGTTTAACTCACAGAGCTGAACATTCCTTTGGATGGAGCAGTTTGGAAACACACTATCTGTAGGATCTGCAAGCGGATACTTGGGCCTCTCTGAGGATTGCGTTGGAAACGGGATAAACCGCACAGAACTAAACAGAAGCATTCTCAGAACCTTCTTCGTGATGTTTGCATTCAACCCACAGTGTTGAAACTTTCTTTGATAGTTCAGGTTTGAAACACTCTTTTTGTAGAAACTTCAAGTGGATAACTGCACTTCTTTGAGGCCTATCGTAGTAAAGGAAATAACTTCCTATAAAAACAAGACAGAAGCTTTCTCAGAAAATTCTCTGGGATGATTGAGTTGAACTCACAGAGCAGTACTTTCTTTGGGATGGAGTAGTTTCGAAACACACTTTCTGTACAATCTGCAAGTGGATATTTGGACCTGTCTGAGGAATTCGTTGCAAACGGGATAATTTCAGCTAAGTAAACAGAAGCAGTCTCAGAATCTTCTTGTGATGTTTGCATTCAAATCCCAGAATTGAACCTTCCTTTGAAAGTTCAGGTTGGAAACACTCTTTTTGCAGGATCTACAAGTGGATATTCGGACCACTCTGTGGACTTCGTTTGAAACGGGTATATCTTCACATAACATCTAGACAGAAGCATTCTCAGAAACTTTTCTGTGATGACTGCATTCAACTCACAGAGTTGAACACTCCTTTTGAGAGCGCAGTTTTGAAACTCTCTTTCTCTGGAATCTGCAAGGGGACATGCAGACCTCTTTGAAGGTTTCGTTGGAAACGGAATCATCTTCACATAAAAATTACACAGAAGCATCCTCAGGAACTCCTTGGTGATGTTTGTATTCAACTTCCAGAGTTGAACTTTCCTTCGGAAAGAGCAGCTATGAAACACTCTTTTTCCAGAATCTGCAAGTGGACATTGGGAGGGCTGTGAGGTTTGTGGTGGAAAAGGAAATATCTCCACATAAATACTAGATAGAAGCCTTCTCAGAAACTACTTTGTGATGATTGCATTCACCTCACGGAGTTGAGCATTCCTATTGACAGAGCAGTTTGGAAACACTCTTCTTGTAGAATCGGCTAGTGGAGATTTGGAGCGCTTTGAGGCCTATGGTAGTAAAGGGAAGAGCTTCACATAAAATCTAGACAGA
>NC_000017.11:25684902-25735946 GCF_000001405.40 Homo sapiens
CCATAAAAATGATGAGTTCATATCCTTTGTAGGGACATGGATGAAATTGGAAACCATCATTCTCAGTAAACTAACACAAGAAAAAAAAACCAAACACCGCATATTCTCACTCATAGGTGGGAATTGAACAATGAGATCACATGGACACAGGAAGGGGAATATCACACTCTGGGGACTGTGGTGGGGTCGGGGGAGTGGGGAGGGATAGCATTGGGAGATATACCTAATGCTAGATGACACATTAGTGGGTGCAGCGCACCAGCATGGCACATGTATACATATGTAACTAACCTGCACAATGTGCACATGTACCCTAAAACTTAGAGTATAATAAAAAAAAAAAAAAAAGAAATATACAAAAAAAAAAAAAACAAAAAAAAACAAAAAAAAAACAAAGAAAGGTTCAGCACTGTGAGTTGAATGCAAACATCATGAAAAGGGTTCTGAAAATGCTTCAGCATTCTCAGAAACTACTTTGTGATGATTGCATTCAAGTCACAGAGTTGAACATTCCCTTTGACAGAGCAGTTTGGAAACTCTCTTTGTGTAGAATCTGCAAGTGGAGATATGGACCTCTTTGTGGCCTATGGTAGTAAAGGAAATAGCTTCATATAAAAGCTAGACAGTAGCATTCTCAGAAACTTCTTTGTGATGCTTGCATTCAACTCACAGAGTTGAACTTTCCTTTCGAGAGAGAAGCTTTGAAACACTCTTTTTCCAGAATCTGCAAGTGGACATTTGGAGGGCTTTGAGGCCTGTGGTGGAAAAGGAATTATCTTCCCGTAAAAGCTAGATAGAAGCATTGTCAGAAACTTCTTTGTGATGATTGCATTCAACTCACAGAGTTGAAGGTTCCTTTTCAAAGAGCAGTTTCCAATCACTCTTTCTGTGGAATCTGCAACTGGATATTTGGACCTCTTTGAAGATTTCGTTGGAAACGGGAGAATCTTCACAGAAAAGCTAAACAGAAGCATTCTCAGAAACTTCTCTGTGATGTTTGTGTTCAACTCCCAGAGTTTCACGTTGCTTTTCATAGAGTAGTTCTGAAACATGCTTTTCGTAGTGTCTGCAAGTGGACATTTGGAGCGCTTTCAGGCCTGTGGTGGAAAACGAATTATGGTCACATAAAAACTGGAGAGAAGCCTTCTCAGAAACTTCTCTGTGATGATTGCATTCAACTCACAGAGTTGAACCCTCCTATGGATAGAGCAGTGTTGAAACTCTCTTTTTGTGGAATCTGCAAGTGGATATGTGGACCTCTCCGAAGATGTCTTTGGAAACGGGAATATCTTCACATAAAAACTAAACAGAAGCATTCTCAGAAACTTCTTGGTGATGTTTGCATTCAAATCCCAGAGTTGAACCTTCCTTTGATAGTTCAGGTTTGAAACACTCTTTCTGTAGGATCTGCAAGTGGCTATTTGGACCACTCTGTGGCCTTCGTTCGAAACGGGTATATCTTCGCATAAAATCTAGACAGAAGCATTCTCAGAAAATACTTTGTGATGATTGAGTTTAAATCACAGAGCTGAACATTCCTTTGGATGGAGCAGGTTTGAGACACACTTTTTGTAGAATCTACAAGTGGATATTTGGACCTCTCTGAGGATTTCGTTGGAAACGGGATAACTGCACCTAACTAAACGGAAGCATTATCAGAAACTGCTTTGTGATGATTGCATTCACCTCACAGAGTTGAACATTCCTATTCATAGAGCAGTTTGGAAACACTCTTGTTGTGGAATGTGCAAGTGGAGATTTGGAGCGCTTTGAGGCCTATGGTAGTAAAGGGAATAGCTTCATAGAAAAACTAGACAGATGCATTCTCAGGAACTTTTTGGTGATGTTTGTATTCAACTCCCAGAGTTGAACTTTCCTTTGGAAAGAGCAGCTATGAAACACTCTTTTTCTAGAATCTGCAAGTGGACGTTTGGAGGGCTTTGTGGTTTGTGGTGGAAAAGGAAATATCTTCACCTAAATACTAGATAGAAGCATTCTCAGAAGCTTCTCTGTGATGACTGCATTCAACTCACGGAGTTGAACACTCCTTTTGAGAGCGCAGTTTTGAAACTCTCTTTCTGTGGCATCCGCAAGGGGACATGTGGACCTCTTTGAAGATTTCGTTGGAAACGGAATCATCTTCACATCAAAACTATACAGAAGCAGTCTCAGAATCTTCTTTGTGATGTTTGCATTCAAATCCCAGAGTTGAACTTTCCTTTCAAAGTTCACGTTTGAAACACTCTTTTTGCAGGATCTACAAGTGGATATTTGGACCACTCTGTGTCCTTCGTTCGAAACGGGTATATCTTCACACGACATCTAGACAGAAGCTTTCTCAGGAAAATTCTTTGGGATGATTGAGTGGAACTCACAGTGCTGAACATTCCTTGCGATGTAGCAGTTTAGAAACACACTTTCTGCAGAATCTGCAAGTGCATATTTGGACCTCTCTGAGGAATTCGTTGGAAACGGGATAATTTCAGCTGACTAAACAGAAGCATTCTCAGAACCTTCTTCGTGATGTCTGCATTCAACTCACAGTGTGGAACCTTTCTTTGATAGTTCAGGTTTGAAACACTCTTTTTGTAGAAACTGCAAGGGGATAATTGCACTTCTTTGAGGCCTACCGTAGTAAAGGAAATAACTTCCTATAGAAAGAAGACAGAAGCATTCTCAGAACCCTCTTCGTGATGTTTGCATTCAACTCACAGCGCTGAAACTTTCTTTGATAGTTCAGCTTTGAAACACTCTTCTTGTAGAAACTGCAAGTGGATATTTGGTCCTCTCTGAGGATTTCGTTGGAAACGGGATAAACCGCACAGAACTAAACAGAAGCATTCTCAGAACCTTCTTCGTGATGTTTGCATTCAACTCACAGTGTTGAACCTTTCTTTGATAGTTCAGGTTTGAAACGGTCTTTCTGTAGAAACTGCAAGAAGATATTTGGACCTCTCTGAGGATTTCGTTGGAAACGGGATAAACCGCACAGAACTAAAACAGAAGCATTCACAGAAAACTCTTGGTGACGACTGAGTTTAACTCACAGAGCTGAACATTCCTTTGGATGGAGCAGTTTCGAAACACACTATTTGTAGAATGTGCAAGTGGATATTTGGGCCTCTCTGAGGATTTCGTTGGAAACGGGATAAACCGCACAGAACTAAACAGAAGCATTCTCAGAAACTACTTTGTGATGATTGCATTCAAGTCACAGAGTTGAACATTCCCTTTGACAGAGCAGTTTGGAAACTCTCTTTGTGTAGAATCTGCAAGTGGAGATATGGACCGCTTTGAGGCCTATGGTAGTAAAGGAAATAGCTTCATATAAAAGCTAGACAGTAGCATTCTCAGAAACTTCTTTGTGATGCTTGCATTCAACTCACAGAGTTGAACTTTCCTTTCGAGAGAGAAGCTTTGAAACACTCTTTTTCCAGAATCTGCAAGTGGACATTTGGAGGGCTTTGAGGCCTGTGGTGGAAAAGGAATTATCTTCCCGTAAAAGCTAGATGGAAGCATTGTCAGAAACTTCTTTGTGATGATTGCATTCAACTCACAGAGTTGAAGGTTCCTTTTCAAAGAGCAGTTTCCAATCACTCTTTGTGTGGAATCTGCAAGTGGATATTTGGACCTATTTTGAAGATTTCGTTGGAAACGGGAGAATCTTCACAGGAAAGCTAAACAGAAGCATTCTCAGAAACTTCTCTGTGATGTTTGTGTTCAACTCCCAGAGTTTCACATTGCTTTTCATAGAGTAGTTCTGAAACATGCTTTTCGTAGTGTCTACAAGTGGACATTTGGAGCGCTTTCAGGCCTGTGGTGGAAAACGAATTATGGTCACATAAAAACTGGAGAGAAGCCTTCTCAGAAACTTCTCTGTGATGATTGCATTCAACTCACAGAGTTGAACCCTTCTATGGATAGAGCAGTGTTGAAACTCTCTTTTTGTGGAATCTGCAAGTGGATATGTGGACCTCTCCGAAGATGTCTTTGGAAACGGGAATATCTTCACATAAAAACTAAACAGAAGCATTCTCAGAAACTTCTTGGTGATGTTTGCATTCAAATCCCAGAGTTGAACCTTCCTTTGATAGTTCAGGTTTGAAACACTCTTTTTGTAGGATCTGCAAGTGGATATTTGGACCACTCTGTGGCCTTCGTTCGAAACGGGTATATCTTCGCATAAAATCTAGACAGAAGCATTCTCAGAAAATACTTTGTGATGATTGAGTTAAAATCACAGAGCTGAACATTCCTTTGGATGGAGCAGGTTTGAGACACACTTTTTGTAGAATCTACAAGTGGATATTTGGACCTCTCTGAGGATTTCGTTGGAAACGGGATAACTGCACCTAACTAAACGGAAGCATTCTCAGAAACTGCTTTGTGATGATTGCATTCACCTCACAGAGTTGAACATTCCTATTGATAGAGCAGTTTGGAAACACTCTTGTTGTGGAATGTGCAAGTGGAGATTTGGAGCGCTTTGAGGCCTATGGTAGTAAAGGGAATAGCTTCATAGAAAAACTAGACAGATGCATTCTGAGGAACTTTTTGGTGTTGTTTGTATTCAACTCCCAGAGTTGAACTTTCCTTTGGAAAGAGCAGCTATGAAACACTCTTTTTCTAGAATCAGTAAGTGGACGTTTGGAGGGCTTTGTGGTTTGTGGTGGAAAAGGAAATATCTTCACCTAAATAGTAGATAGAAGCATTCTCAGAAGCTTCTCTGTGATGACTGCATTCAGCTCACAGAGTTGAACACTCCTTTTGAGAGCGCAGTTTTGAAACTCTCTTTCTGTGGCATCTGCAAGGGGACATGTAGACCTCTTTGAAGATTTCGTTGGAAACGGAATCATCTTCACATAAAAACTATACAGAAGCAGTCTCAGAATCTTCTTTGTGATGTTTGCATTCAAATCCCAGAGTTGAACTTCCCTTTCAAAGTTCACGTTTGAAACACTCTTTTTGCAGGATGTACAAGTGGATATTTGGAGCACTCTGTGTCCTTCGTTCGAAACGGGTATATCTTCACATGACATCTAGACAGAAGCTTTCTCAGAAAATTCTTTGTGATGATTGAGTTGAGCAAACAGAGCTGAACACTCCTTGCGATGTAGCAGTTTAGAAACACACTTTCTGCAGAATCTGCAAGTGCATATGTGGACCTCTCTGAGGAATTCGTTGGAAACGGGATAATTTCAGCTGACTAAACAGAAGCATTCTCAGAACCTTCTTCGTGATGTCTGCATTCAACTCACAGTGTGGAACCTTTCTTTGATAGTTCAGGTTTGAAACACTCTTTTTGTAGAAACTGCAAGGGGATCATTGCACTTCTTTGAGGCCTACCGTAGTAAAGGAGATAACTTACTATAAAAAGAAGACAGAAGAATTCTCAGAGCCCTCTTCGTGATGTTTGCATTCAACTCACAGTGCTGAACCTTTCTTTGATAGTGCAGCTTTGAAACACTCTTTTTGTAGAAACTGCAAGTGGATGTTTGGTCCTCTCTGAGGATTTCGTTGGAAACGGGATAAACCGCACAGAACTAAAACAGAAGCATTGTCAGAAACTTCTTTGTGATGATTGCATTCAACTCACAGAGTTGAAGGTTCCTTTTCAAACAGCAGTTTCCAATCACTCTTTCTGTGGAATCTGCAAGTGGATATTTGGGCCTCTCTGAGGATTTCGTTGGAAACGGGATAAAACGCACAGAACTAAAACAGAAGCATTCTCAGAAACTTCTCTGTGATGTTTGTGTTCAACTCCCAGAGTTTCACGTTGCTTTTCATAGAGTAGTTCTGAAACATGCTTTTCGTAGTGTCTGCAAGTGGACATTTGGAGCGCTTTCAGGCCTGTGGTGGAAAACGAATTATGGTCACATAAAAACTGGAGAGAAGCCTTCTCAGAAACTTCTCTGTGATGATTGCATTCAACACACAGAGTTGAACCCTCCTATGGATAGAGCAGTGTTGAAACTCTGTTTTTGTGGAATCTGCAAGTGGATATGTGGACCTCGCCGAAGATGTCTTTGGAAACGGGAATATCTTCACATAAAAACTAAACAGAAGCATTCTCAGAAACTTCTTGGTGATGTTTGCATTCAAATCCCAGAGTTGAACCTTCCTTTGATAGTTCAGGTTTGAAACACTCTTTTTGTAGGATCTGCAAGTGGATATTTGGACCACTCTGTGGCCTTCGTTCGAAACGGGTATATCTTCGCATAAAATCTAGACAGAAGCATTCTCAGAAAATACTTTGTGATGATTGAGTTTAACTCACAGAGCTGAACATTCCTTTGGATGGAGCAGGTTTGAGACACACTTTTTGTAGAATCTACAAGTGGATATTTGGACCTCTCTGAGGATTTCGTTGGAAACGCGATAACTGCACCTAACTAAACGGAAGCATTCTCAGAAACTGCTTTGTGATGATTGCATTCACCTCACAGAGTTGAACATTCCTATTGATAGAGCAGTTTGGAAACACTCTTGTTGTGGAATGTGCAAGTGGAGATTTGGAGCGCTTTGAGGCCTATGGTAGTAAAGGGAATAGCTTCATAGAAAAACTAGGCAGATGCATTCTCAGGAACTTTTTGGTGATGTTTGTATTCAACTCCCAGAGTTGAACTTTCCTTTGGAAAGAGCAGCTATGAAACACTCTTTTTCTAGAATCTGCAAGTGGACGTTTGGAGGGCTTTGTGGTTTGTGGTGGAAAAGGAAATATCTTCACCTAAATACTAGATAGAAGCATTCTCAGAAGCTTCTCTGTGATGACTGCATTCAACTCACGGAGTTGAACACTCCTTTTGAGAGCGTAGTTTTGAAACTCTCTTTCTGTGGCATCTGCAAGGGGACATGTAGACCTCTTTGAAGATTTCGTTGGAAACGGAATCATCTTCACATAAAAACTATACAGAAGCAGTCTCAGAATCTTCTTTGTGATGTTTGCATTCAAATCCCAGGAGTTGAACTTTCCTTTCAAAGTTCACGTTTGAAACACTCTTTTTGCAGGATCTACAAGTGGATATTTGGACCACTCTGTGTCCTTCGTTCGAAACGGGTATAACTTCACACGACATCTAGACAGAAGCTTTCTCAGAAAATTCTTTGGGATGATTGAGTTGAGGAAACAGAGCTGAACACTCCTTGTGATGTAGCAGTTTAGAAACACACTTTCTGCAGAATCTGCAAGTGCATATTTGGACCTCTCTGAGGAATTCGTTGGAAACGGGATAATTTCAGCTGACTAAACAGAAGCATTCTCAGAACCTTCTTCGTGATGTCTGCATTCAACTCACAAGTGTGGAACCTTTCTTTGATAGTTCAGGTTTGAAACACTCTTTTTGTAGAAACTGCAAGGGGATAATTGCACTTCTTTGAGGCCTACCGTAGTAAAGGAAATAACTTCCTATAGAAAGAAGACAGAAGCATTCTCAGAACCCTGCTTCGTGATGTTTGCATTCAACTCACAGTGCTGAACCTTTCTTTGATAGTTCAGCTTTGAAACACTCTTTTTGTAGAAACTGCAAGTGGATATTTGGTCCTCTCTGAGGATTTCGTTGGAAACGGGATAAACTGCACAGAACTAAACAGAAGCATTCTCAGAACCTTCTTCGTGATGTTTGCATTCAACTCACAGTGTTGAACCTTTCTTTGATAGTTCAGGTTTGAAACGGTCTTTCTGTAGAAACTGCAAGTAGATATTTGGACCTCTCTGAGGATTTCGTTGGAAACGGGATAACCCGCACAGAACTAAAACAGAAGCATTCACAGAAAACTCTTGGTGACGACTGAGTTTAACTCACAGAGCTGAACATTCCTTTGGATGGAGCAGTTTCGAAACACACTATTTGTAGAATGTGCAAGTGGATATTTAGGCCTCTCTGAGGATTTCGTTGGAAACGGGATAAACCGCACAGAACTAAACAGAAGCATTCTCAGAAACTACTTTGTGATGATTGCATTCAAGTCACAGAGTTGAACATTCCCTTTGACAGAGCAGTTTGGAAACTCTCTTTGTGTAGAATCTGCAAGTGGAGATATGGACCGCTTTGAGGCCTATGGTAGTAAAGGAAATAGCTTCATATAAAAGCTAGACAGTAGCATTCTCAGAAACTTCTTTGTGATGCTTGCATTCAACTCACAGAGTTGAACTTTCCTTTCGAGAGAGAAGCTTTGAAACACTCTTTTTCCAGAATCTGCAAGTGGACATTTGGAGGGCTTTGAGGCCTGTGGTGGAAAAGGAATTATCTTCTCGTAAAAGCTAGATAGAAGCATTGTCAGAAACTTCTTTGTGATGATTGCATTCAACTCACAGAGTTGAAGGTTCCTTTTCAAACAGCAGTTTCCAATCACTCTTTCTGTGGAATCTGCAAGTGGATATTTGGACCTATTTTGAAGATTTCGTTGGAAACGGGATAATCTTCACAGAAAAGCTAAACAGAAGCATTCTCAGAAACTTCTCTGTGATGTTTGTGTTCAACTCCCAGAGTTTCACATTGCTTTTCATAGAGTAGTTCTGAAACATGCTTTTCGTAGTGTCTGCAAGTGGACATTTGGAGCGCTTTCAGGCCTGTGGTGGAAAACGAATTATGGTCACATAAAAACTGGAGAGAAGCCTTCTCAGAAACTTCTCTGTGATGATTGCATTCAACTCACAGAGTTGAACCCTCCTATGGATAGAGCAGTGTTGAAACTCTCTTTTTGTGGAATCTGCAAGTGGATATGTGGACCTCTCCGAAGATGTCTTTGGAAACGGGAATATCTTCACATAAAAACTAAACAGAAGCATTCTCAGAAACTTCTTGGTGATGTTTGCATTCAAATCCCAGAGTTGAACCTTCCTTTGATAGTTCAGGTTTGAAACACTCTTTTTGTAGGATCTGCAAGTGGCTATTTGGACCACTCTGTGGCCTTCGTTCGAAACGGGTATATCTTCGCATAAAATCTAGACAGAAGCATTCTCAGAAAATACTTTGTGATGATTGAGTTTAACTCACAGAGCTGAACATTCCTTTGGATGGAGCAGGTTTGAGACACACTTTTTGTAGAATCTAAAAGTGGATATTTGGACCTCTCTGAGGATTTCGTTGGAAACGCGATAACTGCACCTAATTAAACGGAAGCATTCTCAGAAACTGCTTTGTGATGATTGCATTCACCTCACAGAGTTGAACATTCCTATTGATAGAGCAGTTTGGAAACACTCTTGTTGTGGAATGTGCAAGTGGAGACTTGGAGCGTTTTGAGGCCTATGGTAGTAAAGGGAATAGCTTCATAGAAAAACTAGACAGATGCATTCTCAGGAACTTTTTGGTGATGTTTGTATTCAACTCCCAGAGTTGAACTTTCCTTTGGAAAGAGCAGCTATGAAACACTCTTTTTCTAGAATCTGCAAGTGGACGTTTGGAGGGCTTTGTGGTTTGTGGTGGAAAAGGAAATATCTTCACCTAAATACTAGATAGAAGCATTCTCAGAAGCTTCTCTGTGATGACTGCATTCAACTCACGGAGTTGAACACTCCTTTTGAGAGCGCAGTTTTGAAACTCTGTTTCTGTGGCATCTGCAAGGGGACATGGAGACCTCTTTGAAGATTTCGTTGGAAACGGAATCATCTTCACATAAAAACTATACAGAAGCAGTCTCAGAATCTTCTTTGTGATGTTTGCATTCAAATCCCAGAGTTGAACTTTCCTTTCAAAGTTCACGTTTGAAACACTCTTTTTGCAGGATCTACAAGTGGATATTTGGACCACTCTGTGTCCTTCGTTCGAAACGGGTATATCTTCACATGACATCTAGACAGAAGCTTTCTCAGAAAATTCTTTGGGATGATTGAGTGGAACTCACAGAGCTGAACATTCCTTGCGATGGAGCAGTTTAGAAACACACTTTCTGCAGAATCTGCAAGTGCATATTTGGACCTCTCTGAGGAATTCGTTGGAAACGGGATAATTTCAGCTGACTAAACAGAAGCATTCTCAGAACCTTCTTCGTGATGTCTGCATTCAACTCACAGTGTGGAACCTTTCTTTGATAGTTCAGGTTTGAAACACTCTTTTTGTAGAAACTGCAAGGGGATAATTGCACTTCTTTGAGGCCTACCGTAGTAAAGGAAATAACTTCCTATAGAAAGAAGACAGAAGCATTCTCAGAACCCTCTTCGTGATGTTTGCATTCAACTCACAGTGCTGAACCTTTCTTTGATAGTTCAGCTTTGAAACACTCTTCTTGTAGAAACTGCAAGTGGATATTTGGTCCTCTCTGAGGATTTCGTTGGAAACGGGATAAACCGCACAGAACTAAACAGAAGAATTCTCAGAGCCCTCTTCGTGATGTTTGCATTCAACTCACAGTGCTGAACCTTTCTTTGATAGTGCAGCTTTGAAACACTCTTTTTGTAGAAACTGCAAGTGGATATTTGGTCCTCTCTGAGGATTTCGTTGGAAACGGGATAAACCGCACAGAACTAAAACAGAAAAGCATTGTCAGAAACTTCTTTGTGATGATTGCATTCAACTCACAGAGTTGAAGGTTCCTTTTCAAACAGCAGTTTCCAATCACTCTTTCTGTGGAATCTGCAAGTGGATATTTGGGCCTCTCTGAGGATTTCGTTGGAAACGGGATAAAACGCACAGAACTAAAACAGAAGCATTCTCAGAAACTTCTCTGTGATGTTTGTGTTCAACTCCCAGAGTTTCACGTTGCTTTTCATAGAGTAGTTCTGAAACATGCTTTTCGTAGTGTCTGCAAGTGGACATTTGGAGCGCTTTCAGGCCTGTGGTGGAAAACGAATTATGGTCACATAAAAACTGGAGAGAAAGCCTTCTCAGAAACTTCTCTGTGATGATTGCATTCAACTCACAGAGTTGAACCCTCCTATGGATAGAGCAGTGTTGAAACTCTCTTTTTGTGGAATCTGCAAGTGGATATGTGGACCTCTCCGAAGATGTCTTTGGAAACGGGAATATCTTCACATAAAAACTAAACAGAGCATTCTCAGAAACTTCTTGGTGATGTTTGCATTCAAATCCCAGAGTTGAACCTTCCTGTGATAGTACAGGTTTGAAACACTCTTTTTGTAGGATCTGCAAGTGGATATTTGGACCACTCTGTGGCCTTCGTTCGAAACGGGTACATCTTCACATAAAATCTAGACAGAAGCATTCTCAGAAAATACTTTGTGATGATTGAGTTTAACTCACAGAGCTGAACATTCCTTTGGATGGAGCAGGTTTGAGACACACCTTTTGTAGAATCTACAAGTGGATATTTGGACCTCTCCTGAGGATTTCGTTGGAAACGGGATAACTGCACCTAACTAAACGGAAGCATTCTCAGAAACTGCTTTGTGATGATTGCATTCACCTCACAGAGTTGAACATTCCTATTGATAGAGCAGTTTGGAAACACTCTTGTTGTGGAATGTGCAAGTGGAGATTTGGAGCGCTTTGAGGCCTATGGTAGTAAAGGGAATAGCTTCATAGAAAAACTAGACAGATGCATTCTCAGGAACTTTTTGGTGATGTTTGTATTCAACTCCCAGAGTTGAACTTTCCTTTGGAAAGAGCAGCTATGAAACACTCTTTTTCTAGAATCTGCAAGTGGACGTTTGGAGGGCTTTGTGGTTTGTGTTGGAAAAGGAAATATCTTCACCTAAATACTAGATAGAAGCATTCTCAGAAGCTTCTCTGTGATGACTGCATTCAACTCACGGAGTTGAACACTCCTTTTGAGAGCGCAGTTTTGAAACTCTCTTTCTGTGGCATCTGCAAGGGGACATGTAGACCTCTTTGAAGATTTCGTTGGAAACGGAATCATCTTCACATCAAAACTATACAAAAGCAGTCCCAGAATCTTCTTTGTGATGTTTGCATTCAAATCCCAGAGTTGAACTTTCCTTTCCAAGTTCACGTTTGAAACACTCTTTTTGCAGGATCTACAAGTGGATATTTGGACCACTCTGTGTCCTTCGTTCGACACGGGTTTATCTTCACATGACATCTAAACAGAAGCTTTCTCAGAAAATTCTTTGGGATGATTGAGTTGAGCAAACACAGCTGAACACTCCTTGCGATGTAGCAGTTTAGAAACACACTTCCTGCAGAATCTGCAAGTGCATATGTGGACCTCTCTGAGGAATTCCTTGGAAACGGGATAATTTCAGCTGACTAAACAGAAGCATTCTCAGAACCTTCTTCGTGATGTCTGCATTCAACTCACAGTGTGGAACCTTTCTTTGATAGTTCAGGTTTGAAACACTCTTTTTGTAGAAATTGCAAGGGGATAATTGCACTTCTTTGAGGCCTACCGTAGTAAAGGAAATAACTTCCTATAAAAAGAAGACAGAAGCATTCTCAGAACCCTCTTCGTGATGTTTGCATTCAACTCACAGTGCTGAACCTTTCTTTGATAGTTCAGCTTTGAAACACTCTTTTTGTAGAAACTGCAAGTGGATATTTGGTCCTCTCTGAGGATTTCGTTGGAAAAGGGATAAACCGCACAGAACTAAGCAGAAGCATTCACAGAAAACTCCTGGTGACGACTGAGTTTAACTCACAGAGCTGAACATTCCCTTGTTTGGAGCAGTTTCGAAACACACTCTTTGTAGAATCTGCAGGTGGATATTTGGGCCTCTCTGAGGATTTCGTTGGAAACGGGATAAACCGCACAGAACTAAAACAGAAGCATTCTCAGAAACTACTTTGTGATGATTGCATTCAAGTCACAGAGTTGAACATTCCCTTTGACAGAGCAGTTTGGAAACTCTCTTTGTGTAGAATCTGCAAGTGGAGATATGGACCGCTTTGAGGCCTATGGTAGTAAAGGAAATAGCTTCATATAAAACCTAGACAGTAGCATTCTCAGAAACTTCTTTGTGATGCTTGCATTCAACTCACAGAGTTGAACTTTCCTTTCGAGAGAGAAGCTTTGAAACACTCTTTTTCCAGAATCTGCAAGTGGACATTTGGAGGGCTTTGAGGCCTGTGGTGGAAAAGGAATTATCTTCCCGTAAAAGCTAGATAGAAGCATTGTCAGAAACTTCTTTGTGATGATTGCATTCAACTCACAGAGTTGAAGGTTCCTTTTCAAACAGCAGTTTCCAATCACTCTTTCTGTGGAATCTGCAAGTGGATATTTCGACCTCTTTGAAGATTTCGTTGGAAACGGGAGAATCTTCACAGAAAAGCTAAACAGAAGCATTCTCAGAAACTTCTCTGTGATGTTTGTGTTCAACTCCCAGAGTTTCACGTTGCTTTTCATAGAGTAGTTCTGAAACATGCTTTTCGTAGTGTCTGCAAGTGGACATTTGGAGCGCTTTCAGGCCTGTGGTGGAAAACGAATTATGGTCACATAAAAACTGGAGAGAAGCCTTCTCAGAAACGTCTCTGTGATGATTGCATTCAACTCACAGAGTTGAACCCTCCTATGGATAGAGCAGTGTTGAAACTCTCTTTTTGTGGAACCTGCAAGTGGATATGTGGACCTCTCCGAAGATGTCTTTGGAAACGGGAATATCTTCACATAAAAACTAAACAGAAGCATTCTCAGAAACTTCTTGGTGATGTTTGCATTCAAATCCCAGAGTTGAACCTTCCTTTGATAGTTCAGGTTTGAAACACTCTTTCTGTAGGATCTGCAAGTGGCTATTTGGACCACTCTGTGGCCTTCGTTCGAAACGGGTATATCTTCGCATAAAATCTAGACAGAAGCATTCTCAGAAAATACTTTGTGATGATTGAGTTTAAATCACAGAGCTGACCATTCCTTTGGATGGAGCAGGTTTGAGACACACTTTTTGTAGAATCTACAAGTGGATATTTGGACCTCTCTGAGGATTTCGTTGGAAACGGGATAACTGCACCTAACTAAACGGAAGCATTCTCAGAAACTGCTTTGTGATGATTGCATTCACCTCACAGAGTTGAACATTCCTATTGATAGAGCAGTTTGGAAACACTCTTGTTGTGGAATGTGCAAGTGGAGATTTGGAGCGCTTTGAGGCCTATGGTAGTAAAGGGAATAGCTTCATAGAAAAACTAGACAGATGCATTCTCAGGAACTTTTTGGTGATGTTTGTATTCAACTCCCAGAGTTGAACTTTCCTTTGGAAAGAGCAGCTATGAAACACTCTTTTTCTAGAATCTGCAAGTGGACGTTTGGAGGGCTTTGTGGTTTGTGGTGGAAAAGGAAATATCTTCACCTAAATACTAGATAGAAGCATTCTCAGAAGCTTCTCTGTGATGACTGCATTCAACTCACGGAGTTGAACACTCCTTTTGAGAGCGCAGTTTTGAAACTCTCTTTCTGTGGCATCTGCAAGGGGACATGTAGACCTCTTTGAAGATTTTGTTGGAAACGGAATCATCTTCACATAAAAACTATACAGAAGCAGTCTCAGAATCTTCTTTGTGATGTTTGCATTCAAATCCCAGAGTTGAACTTTCCTTTCAAAGTTCACGTTTGAAACACTCTTTTTGCAGGATCTACAAGTGGATATTTGGACCACTCTGTGTCCTTCGTTCGAAACGGGTATATCTTCACACGACATCTAGACAGAAGCTTTCTCAGCAAAATTCTTTGGGATGATTGAGTGGAACTCACAGAGCTGAACATTCCTTGCGATGTAGCAGTTTAGAAACACACTTTCTGCAGAATGTGCAAGTGCATATTTGGACCTCTCTGAGGAATTCGTTGGAAACGGGATAATTTCAGCTGACTAAACAGAAGCATTCTCAGAACCTTCTTCGTGATGTCTGCATTCAACTCACAGTGTGGAACCTTTCTTTGATAGTTCAGGTTTGAAACACTCTTTTTGTAGAAACTGCAAGGGGATAATTGCACTTCTTTGAGGCCTACCGTAGTAAAGGAAATAACTTCCTATAAAAAGAAGACAGAAGCATTCTCAGAACCCTCTTCGTGATGTTTGCATTCAACACACAGTGCTGAACCTTTCTTTGATAGTTCAGCTTTGAAACACTCTTTTTGTAGAAACTGCAACTGGATATTTGGTCCTCTCTGAGGATTTCGTTGGAAATGGGATAAACCGCACAGTACTAAACAGAAGCATTCACAGAAAACTCTTGGTGACGACTGAGTTTAACCCACAGAGCTGAACATTCCTTTGGATGGAGCAGTTTCGAAACACACTATTTGTAGAATTTGCAAGTGGATATGCCTTGGCCTCTCTGAAGATTTCGTTGGAAACGGGATAAACCGCACAGAACTAAAACAGAAGCATTCTCAGAAACTACTTTGTGATGATTGCATTCAAGTCACAGAGCTGAACATTCCCTTTGACAGAGCAGTTTGGTAACTCTCTTTGTGTAGAATCTGCAAGTGGAGATATGGAATGCTTTGAGGACTATGGTAGTAAAGGAAATAGCTTCATATAAAAGTTAGACAGTAGCATTCTCAGAAACTTCTTTGTGATGCTTGCATTCAACTCACAGAGTTGAACTTTCCTTTCGAGAGAGAAGCTTTGAAACACTCTTTTTCCAGAATGTGCAAGTGGACATTTGGGGAGCTTTGAGGCCTGTGGTGGAAAAGGAATTATCTTCCCGTAAAAGCTAGATAGAAGCATTGTCAGAAACTTCTTTGTGATGATTGCATTCAACTCACAGAGTTGAAGGTTCCTTTTCAAAGAGCAGTTTCCAATCACTCTTTCTGTGGAATCTGCAAGTGGATATTTCGACCTCTTTGAAGATTTCGTTGGAAACGGGAGAATCTTCACAGAAAAGCTAAACAGAAGCATTCTCAGAAACTTCTCTGTGATGTTTGTGTTCAACTCCCAGAGTTTCACATTGCTTTTCATAGAGTAGTTCTGAAACATGCTTTTCGTAGTGTCTACAAGTGGACATTTGGAGCGCTTTCAGGCCTGTGGTGGAAAACGAATTATGGTCACATAAAAACTGGAGAGAAGCCTTCTCAGAAACTTCTCTGTGATGATTGCATTCAACTCACAGGTTTGAACCCTCCTATGGATAGAGCATTGTTGAAACTCTCTTTTTGTGGAATCTGCAAGTGGATATGTGGACCTCTCCGAAGATGTCTTTGGAAACGGGAATATCTTCACATAAAAACTAAACAGAAGCATTCTCAGAAACTTCTTGGTGATGTTTGCATTCAAATCCCAGAGTTGAACCTTCCTGTGATAGTTCAGGTTTGAAACACTCTTTTTGTAGGATCTTCAAGTGGATATTTGGACCACTCTGTGGCCTTCGTTCGAAACGGGTACATCTTCACATAAAATCTAGACAGAAGCATTCTCAGAAAATACTTTGTGATGATTGAGTTTAACTCACAGAGCTGAACATTCCTTTGGATGGAGCAGGTTTGAGACACACTTTTTGTAGAATCTACAAGTGGATATTTGGACCTCTCTGAGGATTTCGTTGGAAACGGGATAACTGCACCTAACTAAACGGAAGCATTCTCAGAAACTGCTTTGTGATGATTGCATTCACTTCACAGACTAGAACATTCCAATTGATAGAGCAGTTTGGAAACACTCTTGTTGTGGAATGTGCAAGTGGAGATTTGGAGCGCTTTGAGGCCTATGGTAGTAAAGGGAATAGCTTCATACAAAAAGTAGACAGATGCATTCTCAGGAACTTTTTGGTGATGTTAGTATTCAACTCCCAGAGTTGAACTTTCCTTTGGAAAGAGCAGCTATGAAACACTCTTTTTCTAGAATCTGCAAGTGGACGTTTGGAGGGCTTTGTGGTTTGTGGTGGAAAAGGAAATATCTTCACCTAAATACTAGATAGAAGCATTCTCAGAAGCTTCTCTGTGATGACTGCATTCAACTCACGGAGTTGAACACTCCTTTTGAGAGCGCAGTTTTGAAACTCTCTTTCTGTGGCATCTGCAAGGGGACATGTAGACCTCTTTGAAGATTTCGTTGGAAACGGAATCATCTTTACATCAAAACTATACAGAAGCAGTCTCAGAATCTTCTTTGTGATGTTTGCATTCAAATCCCAGAGTTGAACTTGCCTTTCAAAGTTCACGTTTGAAACACTCTTTTTGCAGGATCTACAAGTGGATATTTGGACCACTCTGTGTCCTTCGTTCGAAACGGGTATATCTTCACATGACATCTAGACAGAAGCTTTCTCAGAAAATTCTTTCCGATGATTGAGTTGAGCAAACAGAGCTGAACACTCCTTGCGATGTAGCAGTTTAGAAACACACTTTCTGCAGAATCTGCAAGTGCATATGTGGACCTCTCTGAGGAATTCGTTGGAAACGGGATAATTTCAGCTGACTAAACAGAAGCATTCTCAGAACCTTCTTCGTGATGTCTGCATTCAACTCACAGTGTGGAACCTTTCTTTGATAGTTCAGGTTTGAAACACTCTTTTTGTAGAAACTGCAAGGGGATCATTGCACTTCTTTGAGGCCTACCGTAGTAAAGGAAATAACTTCCTATAAAAAGAAGACAGAAGCATTCTCAGAACCCTCTTCGTGATGTTTGCATTCAACTCACGGTGCTGAACCTTTCTTTGATAGTTCAGCTTTGAAACACTCTTTTTGTAGAAACTGGAAGTGGATATTTGGTCCTCTCTGAGGATTTCATTGGTAACGGGATAAACCGCACAGAACTAAACAGAAGCATTCTCAGAACCTTCTTCGTGATGTTTGCATTCAACTCACAGTGTTGAACCTTTCTTTCATAGTTCAGGTTTGAAACGGTCTTTCTGTAGAAACTGCAAGTAGATATTTGGACCTCTCTGAGGATTTCGTTGGAAACGGGATAAACCGCACAGAACTAAAACAGAAGCATTCACAGAAAACTCTTGGTGACGACTGAGTTTAACTCACAGAGCTGAACATTCCTTTGGATGGAGCAGTTTCGAAACACACTATTTCTAGAAGGTGCAAGTGGATATGTGGGCCTCTCTGAGGATTTCGTTGGAAACGGGATAAACCGCAGAGAACTAAACAGAAGCATTCTCAGAAACTACTTTGTGATGATTGCATTCAAGTCACAGAGTTGAACATTCCCTTTGACAGAGCAGTTTGGAAACTCTCTTTGTGTAGAATCTGCAAGTGGAGATATGGACCGCTTTGAGGCCTATGGTAGTAAAGGAAATAGCTTCATATAAAAGCTAGACAGTAGCATTCTCAGAAACTTCTTTGTGATGCTTGCATTCAACTCACAGAGTTGAACTTTCCTTTCGAGAGAGAAGCTTTGAAACACTCTTTTTCCAGAATGTGCAAGTGGACATTTGGGGAGCTTTGAGGCCTGTGGAGGAAAAGGAATTATCTTCCCGTAAAAGCTAGATAGAAGCATTGTCAGAAACTTCTTTGTGATGATTGCATTCAACTCACAGAGTTGAAGGTTCCTTTTCAAACAGCAGTTTCCAATCACTCTTTCTGTGGAATCTGCAAGTGGATATTTGGGCCTCTCTGAGGATTTCGTTGGAAACGGGATAAAACGCACAGAACTGAAACAGAAGCATTCTCAGAAACTTCTCTGTGATGTTTGTGTTCAACTCCCAGAGTTTCACGTTGCTTTTCATAGAGTAGTTCTGAAACATGCTTTTCGTAGTGTCTGCAAGTGGACATTTGGAGCGCTTTCAGGCCTGTGGTGGAAAACGAATTATGGTCACATAAAAACTGGAGAGAAGCCTTCTCAGAAACTTCTCTGTGATGATTGCATTCAACTCACAGAGTTGAACCCTCCTATGGATAGAGCAGTGTTGAAACTCTCTTTTTGTGGAATCTGCAAGTGGATATGTGGACCTCTCCGAAGATGTCTTTGGAAACGGGAATATCTTCACATAAAAACTAAACAGAAGCATTCTCAGAAACTTCTTGGTGATGTTTGCATTCAAATCCCAGAGTTGAACCTTCCTTTGATAGTTCAGGTTTGAAACACTCTTTCTGTAGGATCTGCAAGTGGCTATTTGGACCACTCTGTGGCCTTCGTTCGAAACGGGTATATCTTCGCATAAAATCTAGACAGAAGCATTCTCAGAAAATACTTTGTGATGATTGAGTTGAACTCACAGAGCTGAACATTCCTTTGGATGGAGCAGGTTTGAGACACACTTTTTGTAGAATCTACAAGTGGATATTTGGACCTCTCTGAGGATTTCGTTGGAAACGGGATAACTGCACCTAACTAAACGGAAGCATTCTCAGAAACTGCTTTGTGATGATTGCATTCACCTCACAGAGTTGAACATTCCTATTGATAGAGCAGTTTGGAAACACTCTTGTTGTGGAATGTGCAAGTGGAGATTTGGAGCGCTTTGAGGCCTATGGTAGTAAAGGGAATAGCTTCATAGAAAAACTAGACAGATGCATTCTCAGGAACTTTTTGGTGATGTTTGTATTCAACTCCCAGAGTTGAACTTTCCTTTGGAAAGAGCAGCTATGAAACACTGTTTCTCTAGAATCTGCAAGTGGACGTTTGGAGGGCTTTGTGGTTTGTGGTGGAAAAGGAAATATCTTCACCTAAATACTAGATAGAAGCATCCTCAGAAGCTTCTCTGTGATGACTGCATTCAACTCACGGAGTTGAACACTCCTTTTGAGAGCGCAGTTTTGAAACTCTCTTTCTGTGGCATCTGCAAGGGGACATGTAGACCTCTTTGAAGATTTCGTTGGAAACGGAATCATCTTCACATAAAAACTACACAGAAGCAGTCTCAGAATCTTCTTTGTGATGTTTGCATTCAAATCCCAGAGTTGAACTTTCCTTTCAAAGTTCACGTTTGAAACACTCTTTTTGCAGGATCTACAAGTGGATATTTGGACCACTCTGTGTCCTTCGTTCGAAACGGGTATATCTTCACATGA
Organism: Homo sapiens; assembly: GCF_000001405.40. Classification (NCBI taxonomy): domain Eukaryota; kingdom Metazoa; phylum Chordata; class Mammalia; order Primates; family Hominidae; genus Homo; species Homo sapiens. The sequence continues at coordinate 25,704,712 of NC_000017.11, forward strand.
CATCTAGACAGAAGCTTTCTCAGAAAATTCTTTGGGATGATTGAGTGGAACTCACAGAGCTGAACATTCCTTGCGATGGAGCAGTTTAGAAACACACTTTCTGCAGAATCTGCAAGTGCATATTTGGACCTCTCTGAGGAATTCGTTGGAAACGGGATAATTTCAGCTGACTAAACAGAAGCATTCTCAGAACCTTCTTCGTGATGTCTGCATTCAACTCACAGTGTGGAACCTTTCTTTGATAGTTCAGGTTTGAAACACTCTTTTTGTAGAAACTGCAAGGGGATAATTGCACTTCTTTGAGGCCTACCGTAGTAAAGGAAATAACTTCCTATAGAAAGAAGACAGAAGCATTCTCAGAACCCTCTTCGTGATGTTTGCATTCAACTCACAAGTGCTGAACCTTTCTTTGATAGTTCAGCTTTGAAACACTCTTCTTGTAGAAACTGCAAGTGGATATTTGGTCCTCTCTGAGGATTTCGTTGGAAACGGGATAAACCGCACAGAACTAAACAGAAGAATTCTCAGAGCCCTCTTCGTGATGTTTGCATTCAACTCACAGTGCTGAACCTTTCTTTGATAGTGCAGCTTTGAAACACTCTTTTTGTAGAAACTGCAAGTGGATGTTTGGTCCTCTCTGAGGATTTCGTTGGAAACGGGATAAACCGCACAGAACTAAAACAGAAAAGCATTGTCAGAAACTTCTTTGTGATGATTGCATTCAACTCACAGAGTTGAAGGTTCCTTTTCAAACAGCAGTTTCCAATCACTCTTTCTGTGGAATCTGCAAGTGGATATTTGGGCCTCTCTGAGGATTTCGTTGGAAACGGGATAAAACGCACAGAACTAAAACAGAAGCATTCTCAGAAACTTCTCTGTGATGTTTGTGTTCAACTCCCAGAGTTTCACGTTGCTTTTCATAGAGTAGTTCTGAAACATGCTTTTCGTAGTGTCTGCAAGTGGACATTTGGAGCGCTTTCAGGCCTGTGGTGGAAAACGAATTATGGTCACATAAAAACTGGAGAGAAGCCTTCTCAGAAACTTCTCTGTGATGATTGCATTCAACTCACAGAGTTGAACCCTCCTATGGATAGAGCAGTGTTGAAACTCTCTTTTTGTGGAATCTGCAAGTGGATATGTGGACCTCTCCGAAGATGTCTTTGGAAACGGGAATATCTTCACATAAAAACTAAACAGAAGCATTCTCAGAAACTTCTTCGTGATGTTTGCATTCAAATCCCAGATTTGAACCTTCCTTTGAGAGTTCAGGTTTGAAACACTCTTTTTGTAGGATCTGCAAGTGGATATTTGGACCACTCTGTGGCCTTCGTTCGAAACGGGTACATCTTCGCATAAAATCTAGACAGAAGCATTCTCAGAAAATACTTTGTGATGATTGAGTTTAACTCACAGCAGCTGAACATTCCTTTGGATGGAGCAGGTTTGAGACACACTTTTTGTAGAATCTACAAGTGGATATTTGGACCTCTCTGAGGATTTCGTTGGAAACGGGATAACTGCACCTAACTAAACGGAAGCATTCTCAGAAACTGCTTTGTGATGATTGCATTCACCTCACAGAGTTGAACATTCCTATTGATAGAGCAGTTTGGAAACACTCTTGTTGTGGAATGTGCAAGTGGAGATTTGGAGCGCTTTGAGGCCTATGGTAGTAAAGGGAATAGCTTCATAGAAAAACTAGACAGATGCATTCTCAGGAACTTTTTGGTGATGTTTGTATTCAACTCCCAGAGTTGAACTTTCCCTTTGGAAAGAGCAGCTATGAAACACTCTTTTTCTAGAATCTGCAAGTGGACGTTTGGAGGGCTTTGTGGTTTGTGGTGGAAAAGGAAATATCTTCACCTAAATACTAGATAGAAGCATTCTCAGAAGCTTCTCTGTGATGACTGCATTCAACTCACGGAGTTGAACACTCCTTTTGAGAGCGCAGTTTTGAAACTCTCTTTCTGTGGCATCTGCAAGGGGACATGTAGACCTCTTTGAAGATTTCGTTGGAAACGGAATCATCTTCACATAAAAACTATACAGAAAGCAGTCTCAGAATCTTCTTTGTGATGTTTGCATTCAAATCCCAGAGTTGAACTTTCCTTTCAAAGTTCACGTTTGAAACACTCTTTTTGCAGGATCTACAAGTGGATATTTGGACCACTCTGTGTCCTTCGTTCGAAACGGGTATATCTTCACACGACATCTAGACAGAGCTTTCTCAGAAAATTCTTTGGGATGATTGAGTTGAACTCACAGAGCTGAACATTCCTTGCGATGTAGCAGTTTAGAAACACACTTTCTGCAGAATCTGCAAGTGCATATTTGGACCTCTCTGAGGAATTCGTTGGAAACGGGATAATTTCAGCTGACTAAACAGAAGCATTCTCAGAACCTTCTTCGTGATGTCTGCATTCAACTCACAGTGTGGAACCTTTCTTTGATAGTTCAGGTTTGAAACACTCTTTTTGTAGAAACTGCAAGGGGATAATTGCACTTCTTTGAGGCCTACCGTAGTAAAGGAAATAACTTCCCTATAGAAAGAAGACAGAAGAATTCTCAGAGCCCTCTTCGTGATGTTTGCATTCAACTCACAGTGCTGAACCTTTCTTTGATAGTGCAGCTTTGAAACACTCTTTTTGTAGAAACTGCAAGTGGATGTTTGGTCCTCTCTGAGGATTTCGTTGGAAACGGGATAAACCGCACAGAACTAAAACAGAAGCATTGTCAGAAACTTCTTTGTGATGATTGCATTCAACTCACAGAGTTGAAGGTTCCTTTTCAAACAGCAGTTTCCAATCACTCTTTCTGTGGAATCTGCAAGTGGATATTTGGGCCTCTCTGAGGATTTCGTTGGAAACGGGATAAAACGCACAGAACTAAAACAGAAGCATTCTCAGAAACTTCTCTGTGATGTTTGTGTTCAACTCCCAGAGTTTCACGTTGCTTTTCATAGAGTAGTTCTGAAACATGCTTTTCGTAGTGTCTGCAAGTGGACATTTGGAGCGCTTTCAGGCCTGTGGTGGAAAACGAATTATGGTCACATAAAAACTGGAGAGAAGCCTTCTCAGAAACTTCTCTGTGATGATTGCATTCAACTCACAGAGTTGAACCCTCCTATGGATAGAGCAGTGTTGAAACTCTCTTTTTGTGGAATCTGCAAGTGGATATGTGGACCTCTCCGAAGATGTCTTTGGAAACGGGAATATCTTCACATAAAAACTAAACAGAAGCATTCTCAGAAACTTCTTGGTGATGTTTGCATTCAAATCCCAGAGTTGAACCTTCCTTTGATAGTTCAGGTTTGAAACACTCTTTTTGTAGGATCTGCAAGTGGCTATTTGGACCACTCTGTGGCCTTCGTTCGAAACGGGTATATCTTCGCATAAAATCTAGACAGAAGCATTCTCAGAAAATACTTTGTGATGATTGAGTTTAAATCACAGAGCTGACCATTCCTTTCGATGGAGCAGGTTTGAGACACACTTTTTGTAGAATCTACAAGTGGATATTTGGACCTCTCTGAGGATTTCGTTGGAAACGGGATAACTGCACTTAACTAAACGGAAGCATTCTCAGAAACTGCTTTGTGATGATTGCATTCACCTCACAGAGTTGAACATTCCTATTGATAGAGCAGTTTGGAAACACTCTTGTTGTGGAATGTGCAAGTGGAGATTTGGAGCGCTTTGAGGCCTATGGTAGTAAAGGGAATAGCTTCATAGAAAAACTAGACAGATGCATTCTCAGGAACTTTTTGGTGATGTTTGTATTCAACTCCCAGAGTTGAACTTTCCTTTGGAAAGAGCAGCTATGAAACACTCTTTTTCTAGAATCTGCAAGTGGACGTTTGGAGGGCTTTGTGGTTTGTGGTGGAAAAGGAAATATCTTCACCTAAATACTAGATAGAAGCATTCTCAGAAGCTTCTCTGTGATGACTGCATTCAACTCAGGGAGTTGAACACTCCTTTTGAGAGCGCAGTTTTGAAACTCTCTTTCTGTGGCATCTGCAAGGGGACATGTAGACCTCTTTGAAGATTTCGTTGGAAACGGAATCTTCTTCACATAAAAAATATACAGAAGCAGTCTCAGAATCTTCTTTTTGATGTTTGCATTCAAATCCCAGAGTTGAACTTTCCTTTCAAAGTTCACGTTTGAAACACTCTTTTTGCAGGATCTACAAGTGGATATTTGGACCACTCTGTGTCCTTCGTTCGAAACGGGTATATCTTCACATGACATCTAGACAGAAGCTTTCTCAGAAAATTCTTTGGGATGATTGAGTGGAACTCACAGAGCTGAACATTCCTTGCGATGTAGCAGTTTAGAAACACACTTTCTGCAGAATCTGCAAGTGCATATTTGGACCTCTCTGAGGAATTCGTTGGAAACGGGATAATTACAGCTGACTAAACAGAAGCATTCTCAGAACCTTCTTCGTGATGTCTGCATTCAACTCACAGTGTGGAACCTTTCTTTGATAGTTCAGGTTTGAAACACTCTTTTTGTAGAAACTGCAAGGGGATAATTGCACTTCTTTGAGGCCTACCGTAGTAAAGGAAATAACTTCCTATAGAAAGAAGACAGAAGCATTCTCAGAACCCTCTTCGTGATGTTTGCATTCAACTCACAGTGCTGAACCTTTCTTTGATAGTTCAGCTTTGAAACACTCTTTTTGTAGAAACTGCAAGTGGATATTTGGTCTTCTCTGAGGATTTCGTTGGAAAGAGGATAAACCGCACAGAACTAAACAGAAGCATTCTCAGAACCTTCTTCGTGATGTTTGCATTCAACTCACAGTGTTGAACCTTTCTTTGATAGTTCAGGTTGGAAACGGTCTTTCTGTAGAAACTGCAAGTAGATATTTGGACCTCTCTGAGGATTTCGTTGGAAACGGGATAAACCGCACAGAACTAAAACAGAAGCATTCACAGAAAACTCTTGGTGACGACTGAGTTTAACTCACAGAGCTGAACATTCCTTTGGATGGAGCAGTTTCGAAACACACTATTTGTAGAATGTGCAAGTGGATATTTGGGCCTCTCTGAGGATTTCGTTGGAAACGGGATAAACCGCACAGAACTAAACAGAAGCATTCTCAGAAACTACTTTGTGATGATTGCATTCAAGTCACAGAGTTGAACATTCCCTTTGACAGAGCAGTTTGGAAACTCTCTTTGTGTAGAATCTGCAAGTGGAGATATGGACCGCTTTGAGGCCTATGGTAGTAAAGGAAATAGCTTCATATAAAAGCTAGACAGTAGCATTCTCAGAAACTTCTTTGTGATGCTTGCATTCAACTCACAGAGTTGAACTTTCCTTTCGAGAGAGAAGCTTTGAAACACTCTTTTCCAGAATCTGCAAGTGGACATTTGGAGGGCTTTGAGGCCTGTGGTGGAAAAGGAATTATCTTCCCGTAAAAGCTAGACAGAAGCATTGTCAGAAACTTCTTTGTGATGATTGCATTCAACTCACAGAGATGAAGGTTCCTTTACAAACAGCAGTTTCCAAACACTCTTTCTGTGGAATCTGCAAGTGGATATTTGGACCTCTTTGAAGATTTCGTTGGAAACGGGAGAATCTTCACAGAAAAGCTAAACAGAAGCATTCTCAGAAACTTCTCTGTGATGTTTGTGTTCAACTCCCAGAGTTTCACATTGCTTTTCATAGAGAAGTTCTGAAACATGCTTTTCGTAGTGTCTACAAGTGGACATTTGGAGCGCTTTCAGGCCTGTGGTGGAAAACGAATTATGGTCCCATAAAAACTGGAGAGAAGCCTTCTCAGAAACTTCTCTGTGATGATTGCATTCAACTCACAGAGTTGAACCCTCCTATGGATAGAGCAGTGTTGAAACTCTCTTTTTGTGGAACCTGCAAGTGGATATGTGGACCTCTCCGAAGATGTCTTTGGAAACGGGAATATCTTCACATAAAAACTAAACAGAAGCATTCTCAGAAACTTCTTGGTGATGTTTGCATTCAAATCCCAGAGTCGAACCTTCCTTTGATAGTTCAGGTTTGAAACACTCTTTTTGTAGGATCTGCAAGTGGATATTTGGACCACTCTGTGGCCTTCGTTCGAAACGGGTATATCTTCGCATAAAATCTAGACAGAAGCATTCTCAGAAAATACTTTGTGATGATTGAGTTAAAATCACAGAGCTGAACATTCCTTTGGATGGAGCAGGTTTGAGACACACTTTTTGTAGAATCTACAAGTGGATATTTGGACCTCTCTGAGGATTTCGTTGGAAACGGGATAACTGCACCTAACTAAACGGAAGCATTCTCAGAAACTGCTTTGTGATGATTGCATTCACCTCACAGAGTTGAACATTCCTATTGATAGAGCAGTTTGGAAACACTCTTGTTGTGGAATGTGCAAGTGGAGATTTGGAGCGCTTTGAGGCCTATGGTAGTAAAGGGAATAGCTTCATAGAAAAACTAGACAGAATGCATTCTCAGGAACTTTTTGGTGATGTTTGTATTCAACTCCCAGAGTTGAACTTTCCTTTGGAAAGAGCAGCTATGAAACACTCTTTTTCTAGAATCTGCAAGTGGACGTTTGGAGGGCTTTGTGGTTTGTGGTGGAAAAGGAAATATCTTCACCTAAATACTAGATAGAAGCATTCTCAGAAGCTTCTCTGTGATGACTGCATTCAACTCACGGAGTTGAACACTCCTTTTGAGAGCGCAGTTTTGAAACTCTCTTTCTGTGGCATCTGCAAGGGGACATGTAGACCTCTTTGAAGATTTCGTTGGAAACGGAATCATCTTCACATAAAAACTATACAGAAGCAGTCTCAGAATCTTCTTTGTGATGTTTGCATTCAAATCCCAGAGTTGAACTTTCCTTTCAAAGTTCACGTTTGAAACACTCTTTTTGCAGGATCTACAAGTGGATATTTGGACCAATCTGTGTCCTTCGTTCGAAACGGGTATATCTTCACATGACATCTAGACAGAAGCTTTCTCAGAAAATTGTTTGGGATGATTGAGTTGAACTCACAGAGCTGAGCATTCCTTGCGATGTAGCAGTTTAGAAACACACTTTCTGCAGAATCTGCAAGTGCATATTTGGACCTCTCTGAGGAATTCGTTGGAAACGGGATAATTTCAGCTGACTAAACAGAAGCATTCTCAGAACCTTCTTCGTGATGTCTGCATTCAACTCACAGTGTGGAACCTTTCTTTGATAGTTCAGGTTTGAAACACTCTTTTTGTAGAAACTGCAAGGGGATAATTGCACTTCTTTGAGGCCTACCGTAGTAAAGGAAATAACTTCCTATAGAAAGAAGACAGAAGCATTCTCAGAACCCTCTTCGTGATGTTTGCATTCAACTCACAGCGCTGAAACTTTCTTTGATAGTTCAGCTTTGAAACACTCTTCTTGTAGAAACTGCAAGTGGATATTTGGTCCTCTCTGAGGATTTCGTTGGAAACGGGATAAACCGCACAGAACTAAACAGAAGCATTCTCAGAACCTTCTTCGTGATGTTTGCATTCAACTCACAGTGTTGAACCTTTCTTTGATAGTTCAGGTTTGAAACGGTCTTTCTGTAGAAACTGCAAGAAGATATTTGGACCTCTCTGAGGATTTCGTTGGAAACGGGATAAACCGCACAGAACTAAAACAGAAGCATTCACAGAAAACTCTTGGTGACGACTGAGTTTAACTCACAGAGCTGAACATTCCTTTGGATGGAGCAGTTTCGAAACACACTATTTGTAGAATCTGCAAGTGGATATTTGGGCCTCTCTGAGGATTTCGTTGGAAACGGGATAAACCGCACAGAACTAAAACAGAAGCATTCTCAGAAACTACTTTGTGATGATTGCATTCAAGTCACAGAGTTGAACATTCCCTTTGACAGAGCAGTTTGGAAACTCTCTTTGTGTAGAATCTGCAAGTGGAGATATGGACCGCTTTGAGGCCTATGGTAGTAAAGGAAATAGCTTCATATAAAAGCTAGACAGTAGCATTCTCAGAAACTTCTTTGTGATGCTTGCATTCAACTCACAGAGTTGAACTTTCCTTTGGAGAGAGAAGCTTTGAAACACTCTTTTTCCAGAATCTGCAAGTGGACATTTGGAGGGCTTTGAGGCCTGTGGTGGAAAAGGAATTATCTTCCCGTAAAAGCTAGATAGAAGCATTGTCAGAAACTTCTTTGTGATGATTGCATTCAACTCACAGAGTTGAAGGTTCCTTTTCAAACAGCAGTTTCCAATCACTCTTTCTGTGGAATCTGCAAGTGGATATTTGGACCTCTTTGAAGATTTCGTTGGAAACGGGAGAATCTTCACAGAAAAGCTAAACAGAAGCATTCTCAGAAACTTCTCTGTGATGTTTGTGTTCAACTCCCAGAGTTTCACATTGCTTTTCATAGAGTAGTTCTGAAACATGCTTTTCGTAGTGTCTGCAAGTGGACATTTGGAGCGCTTTCAGGCCTGTGGTGGAAAACGAATTATGGTCCCATAAAAACTGGAGAGAAGCCTTCTCAGAACCTTCTCTGTGATGATTGCATTCAACTCACAGACTTGAACCCTCCTATGGATAGAGCAGTGTTGAAACTCTCTTTTTGTGGAATCTGCAAGTGGATATGTGGACCTCTCCGAAGATGTCTTTGGAAACGGGAATATCTTCACATAAAAACTAAACAGAAGCATTCTCAGAAACTTCTTGGTGATGTTTGCATTCAAATCCCAGAGTTGAACCTTCCTGTGATAGTTCAGGTTTGAAACACTCTTTTTGTAGGATCTGCAAGTGGATATTTGGACCACTCTGTGGCCTTCGTTCGAAACGGGTACATCTTCACATAAAATCTAGACAGAAGCATTCTCAGAAAATACTTTGTGATGATTGAGTTTAAATCACAGAGCTGAACATTCCTTTGGATGGAGCAGGTTTGAGACACACTTTTTGTAGAATCTACAAGTGGATATTTGGACCTCTCTGAGGATTTCGTTGGAAACGGGATAACTGCACCTAACTAAACGGAAGCATTCTCAGAAACTGCTTTGTGATGATTGCATTCACCTCACAGAGTTGAACATTCCTATTGATAGAGCAGTTTGGAAACACTCTTGTTGTGGAATGTGCAAGTGGAGATTTGGAGCGCTTTGAGGCCTATGGTAGTAAAGGGAATAGCTTCATAGAAAAACTAGACAGATGCATTCTCAGGAACTTTTTGGTGATGTTTGTATTCAACTCCCAAGAGTTGAACTTTCCTTTGGAAAGAGCAGCTATGAAACACTCTTTTTCTAGAATCTGCAAGTGGACGTTTGGAGGGCTTTGTGGTTTGTGGTGGAAAAGGAAATATCTTCACCTAAATACTAGATAGAAGCATTCTCAGAAGCTTCTCTGTGATGACTGCATTCAACTCACGGAGTTGAACACTCCTTTTGAGAGCGCAGTTTTGAAACTCTCTTTCTGTGGCATCTGCAAGGGGACATGTAGACCTCTTTGAAGATTTCGTTGGAAACGGAATCATCTTCACATAAAAACTATACAGAAGCAGTCTCAGAATCTTCTTTGTGATGTTTGCATTCAAATCCCAGCAGTTGAACTTTCCTTTCAAAGTTCACGTTTGAAACACTCTTTTTGCAGGATCTACAAGTGGATATTTGGACCACTCTGTGTCCTTCGTTCGAAACGGGTATATCTTCACACGACATCTAGACAGAAGCTTTCTCAGAAAATTCTTTGGGATGATTGAGTTGAACTCACAGAGCTGAACATTCCTTGCGATGGAGCAGTTTAGAAACACACTTTCTGCAGAATCTGCAAGTGCATATTTGGACCTCTCTGAGGAATTCGTTGGAAACGGGATAATTTCAGCTGACTAAACAGAAGCATTCTCAGAACCTTCTTCGTGATGTCTGCATTCAACTCACAGTGTGGAACCTTTATTTGATAGTTCAGGTTTGAAACACTCTTTTTGTAGAAACTGCAAGGGGATAATTGCACTTCTTTGAGGCCTACCATAGTAAAGGATATAACTTCCTATAAAAAGAAGACAGAAGCATTCTCAGAACCTTCTTCGTGATGTTTGCATTCAACTCACACTGCTGAACCTTTCTTTGATAGTTCAGCTTTGAAACACTCTTTTTGTAGAAACTGCAAGTGGATATTTGGTCCTCTCTGAGGATTTCGTTGGAAACGGGATAAACCGCACAGAACTAAACAGAAGCATTCTCAGAACCATCTTCGTGATGTTTGCATTCAACCCACAGTGCTGAAACTTTCTTTGATAGTTCAGCTTTGAAACTCTCTTTTTGTAGAAACTGCAAGTGGATATTTGGGCCTCTCTGAGGATTTCGTTGGAAACGGGATAAACCGCACAGAACTAAACAGATAGCATTCACAGTAAAACTCTTGGTGACGACTGAGTTTAACTCACAGAGCTGAACATTCCTTTGGATGGAGCAGTTTCGAAACACACTATTTGTAGAATGTGCAAGTGGATATTTGGGCCTCTCTGAGGATTTCGTTGGAAACGGGATAAACCGCACAGAACTAAACAGAAGCATTCTCAGAAACTACTTTCTGATTATTGCATTCAAGTCACAGAGTTGAACATTCCCTTTGACAGAGCAGTTTGGAAACTCTCTTTGTGTAGAATCTGCAAGTGGAGATATGGACCGCTTTGAGGCCTATGGTAGTAAAGGAAATAGCTTCATATAAAAGCTAGACAGTAGCATTCTCAGAAACTTCTTTGTGATGCTTGCATTCAACTCACAGAGTTGAACTTTCCTTTCGAGAGAGAAGCTTTGAAACACTCTTTTTCCAGAATGTGCAAGTGGACATTTGGGGAGCTTTGAGGCCTGTGGTGGAAAAGGAATTATCTTCCCGTAAAAGCTAGATAGAAGCATTGTCAGAAACTTCTTTGTGATGATTGCATTCAACTCACAGAGTTGAAGGTTCCTTTTCAAAGAGCAGTTTCCAATCACTCTTTCTGTGGAATCTGCAAGTGGATATTTGGACCTATTTTGAAGATTTCGTTGGAAACGGGAGAATCTTCACAGGAAAGCTAAACAGAAGCATTCTCAGAAACTTCTCTGTGATGTTTGTGTTCAACTCCCAGAGTTTCACATTGCTTTTCATAGAGTAGTTCTGAAACATGCTTTTCGTAGTGTCTACAAGTGGACATTTGGAGCGCTTTCAGGCCTGTGGTGGAAAACGAATTATGGTCACATAAAAACTGGAGAGAAGCCTTCTCAGAAACTTCTCTGTGATGATTGCATTCAACTCACAGAGTTGAACCCTCCTATGGATAGAGCAGTGTTGAAACTCTCTTTTTGTGGAATCTGCAAGTGGATATGTGGACCTCTCCGAAGATGTCTTTGGAAACGGGAATATCTTCACATAAAAACTTAACAGAAGCATTCTCAGAAACTTCTTGGTGATGTTTGCATTCAAATCCCAGAGTTGAACCTTCCTTTGATAGTTCAGGTTTGAAACACTCTTTCTGTAGGATCTGCAAGTGGCTATTTGGACCACTCTGTGGCCTTCGTTCGAAACGGGTATATCTTCGCATAAAATCTAGACAGAAGCATTCTCAGAAAATACTTTGTGATGATTGAGTTTAAATCACAGAGCTGACCATTCCTTTGGATGGAGCAGGTTTGAGACACACTTTTTGTAGAATCTACAAGTGGATATTTGGACCTCTCTGAGGATTTCGTTGGAAACGGGATAACTGCACCTAACTAAACGGAAGCATTCTCAGAAACTGCTTTGTGATGATTGCATTCACCTCACAGAGTTGAACATTCCTATTGATAGAGCAGTTTGGAAACACTCTTGTTGTGGAATGTGCAAGTGGAGATTTGGAGCGCTTTGAGGCCTATGGTAGTAAAGGGAATAGCTTCATAGAAAAACTAGACAGATGCATTCTCAGGAACTTTTTGGTGATGTTTGTATTCAACTCCCAGAGTTGAACTTTCCTTTGGAAAGAGCAGCTATGAAACACTCTTTTTCTAGAATCTGCAAGTGGACGTTTGGAGGGCTTTGTGGTTTGTGGTGGAAAAGGAAATATCTTCACCTAAATACTAGACAGAAGCATTCTCAGAAGCTTCTCTGTGATGACTGCATTCAACTCACGGAGTTGAACACTCCTTTTGAGAGCGCAGTTTTGAAACTCTCTTTCTGTGGCATCTGCAAGGGGACATGTAGACCTCTTTGAAGATTTCTTTGGAAACGGAATCATCTTCACATAAAAACTATACAGAAGCAGTCTCAGAATCTTCTTTGTGATGTTTGCATTCAAATCCCAGAGTTGAACTTTCCTTTCAAAGTTCACGTTTGAAACACTCTTTTTGCAGGATCTACAAGTGGATATTTGGACCACTCTGTGTCCTTCGTTCGAAACGGGTATAACTTCACACGACATCTAGACAGAAGCTTTCTCAGAAAATTCTTTGGGATGATTGAGTGGAACTCACAGAGCTGAACATTCCTTGCGATGGAGCAGTTTAGAAACACACTTTCTGCAGAATCTGCAAGTGCATATTTGGACCTCTCTGAGGAATTCGTTGGAAACGGGATAATTTCAGCTGACTAAACAGAAGCATTCTCAGAACCTTCTTCGTGATGTCTGCATTCAACTCACAGTGTGGAACCTTTCTTTGATAGTTCAGGTTTGAAACACTCTTTTTGTAGAAACTGCAAGGGGATAATTGCACTTCTTTGAGGCCTACCGTAGTAAAGGAAATAACTTCCTATAGAAAGAAGACAGAAGCATTCTGAGAACCCTCTTCGTGATGTTTGCATTCAACTCACAGTGCTGAACCTTTCTTTGATAGTTCAGCTTTGAAACACTCTTCTTGTAGAATCTGCAAGTCGATATTTGGTCCTCTCTGAGGATTTCGTTGGAAACGGGATAAACCGCACAGAACTAAACAGAAGCATCCTCAGAACCTTCTTCGTGATGTTTGCATTCAACTCACAAGTGCTGAACCTTTCTTTGATAGTTCAGCTTTGAAACACTCTTTTTGTAGAAACTGCAAGTGGATATTTGGACCTCTCTGAGGATTTCGTTGGAAACGGGATAAACCGCACAGAACTAAAACAGAAGCATTCTCAGAACCTTCTTCGTGATGTTTGCATTCAACTCACAGTGTTGAACCTTTCTTTGATAGTTCAGGTTTGAAACGGTCTTTCTGTAGAAACTGCAAGTAGATATTTGGACCTCTCTGAGGATTTCGTTGGAAACGGGATAACCCGCACAGAACTAAAACAGAAGCATTCACAGAAAACTCTTGGTGACGACTGAGTTTAACTCACAGAGCTGAACATTCCTTTGGATGGAGCAGTTTCGAAACACACTATTTGTAGAATGTGCAAGTGGATATTTAGGCCTCTCTGAGGATTTCGTTGGAAACGGGATAAACCGCACAGAACTAAACAGAAGCATTCTCAGAAACTACTTTGTGATGATTGCATTCAAGTCACAGAGTTGAACATTCCCTTTGACAGAGCAGTTTGGAAACTCTCTTTGTGTAGAATCTGCAAGTGGAGATATGGACCGCTTTGAGGCCTATGGTAGTAAAGGAAATAGCTTCATATAAAAGCTAGACAGTAGCATTCTCAGAAACTTCTTTGTGATGCTTGCATTCAACTCACAGAGTTGAACTTTCCTTTCGAGAGAGAAGCTTTGAAACACTCTTTTTCCAGAATGTGCAAGTGGACATTTGGGGAGCTTTGAGGCCTGTGGTGGAAAAGGAATTATCTTCCCATAAAAGCTAGATAGAAGCATTGTCAGAAACTTCTTTGTGATGATTGCATTCAACTCACAGAGTTGAAGGTTCCTTTTCAAACAGCAGTTTCCAATCACTCTTTCTGTGGAATCTGCAAGTGGATATTTCGACCTCTTTGAAGATTTCGTTGGAAACGGGAGAATCTTCACAGAAAAGCTAAACAGAAGCATTCTCAGAAACTTCTCTGTGATGTTTGTGTTCAACTCCCAGAGTTTCACATTGCTTTTCATAGAGTAGTTCTGAAACATGCTTTTCGTAGTGTCTGCAAGTGGACATTTGGAGCGCTTTCAGGCCTGTGGTGGAAAACGAATTATGGTCACATAAAAACTGGAGAGAAGCCTTCTCAGAAACTTCTCTGTGATGATTGCATTCAACTCACAGAGTTGAACCCTCCTATGGATAGAGCAGTGTTGAAACTCTCTTTTTGTGGAATCTGCAAGTGGATATGTGGACCTCTCCGAAGATGTCTTTGGAAACGGGAATATCTTCACATAAAAACTAAACAGAAGCATTCTCAGAAACTTCTTGGTGATGTTTGCATTCAAATCCCAGAGTTGAACATTCCTTTGATAGTTCAGGTTTGAAACACTCTTTTTGTAGGATCTGCAAGTGGATATTTGGACCACTCTGTGGCCTTCGTTCGAAACGGGTATATCTTCGCATAAAATCCAGACAGAAGCATTCTCAGAAAATACTTTGTGATGATTGAGTTTAACTCACAGAGCTGAACATTCCTTTGGATGGAGCAGGTTTGAGACACACATTTGTAGAATCTACAAGTGGATATTTGGACCTCTCTGAGGATTTCGTTGGAAACGCGATAACTGCACCTAACTAAACGGAAGCATTCTCAGAAACTGCTTTGTGATGATTGCATTCACCTCACAGAGTTGAACATTCCTATTGATAGAGCAGTTTGGAAACCCTCTTGTTGTGGAATGTGCAAGTGGAGATTTGGAGCGCTTTGAGGCCTATGGTAGTAAAGGGAATAGCTTCATAGAAAAACTAGACAGATGCATTCTCAGGAACTTTTTGGTGATGTTTGTATTCAACTCCCAGAGTTGAACTTTCCTTTGGAAAGAGCAGCTATGAAACACTCTTTTTCTAGAATCTGCAAGTGGACGTTTGGAGGGCTTTGTGGTTTGTGGTGGAAAAGGAAATATCTTCACCTAAATACTAGATAGAAGCATTCTCAGAAGCTTCTCTGTGATGACTGCATTCAACTCACGGAGTTGAACACTCCTTTTGAGAGCGCAGTTTTGAAACTCTCTTTCTGTGGCATCTGCAAGGGGACATGTAGACCTCTTTGAAGATTTCGTTGGAAACGGAATCATCTTCACATAAAAACTATACAGAAGCAGTCTCAGAATCTTCTTTGTGATGTTTGCATTCAAATCCCAGAGTTGAACTTTCCTTTCAAAGTTCACGTTTGAAACACTCTTTTTGCAGGATCTACAAGTGGATATTTGGACCACTCTGTGTCCTTCGTTCGAAACGGGTATATCTTCACACGACATCTAGACAGAAGCTTTCTCAGCAAAATTCTTTGGGATGATTGAGTGGAACTCACAGAGCTGAACATTCCTTGCGATGGAGCAGTTTAGAAACACACTTTCTGCAGAATCTGCAAGTGCATATTTGGACCTCTCTGAGGAATTCGTTGGAAACGGGATAATTTCAGCTGACTAAACAGAGGCATTCTCAGAACCTTCTTCGTGATGTCTGCATTCAACTCACAGTGTGGAACCTTTCTTTGATAGTTCAGGTTTGAAACACTCTTTTTGTAGTAACTGCAAGAGGATAATTGCACTTCTTTGAGGCCTACCGTAGTAAAGGAAATAACTTCCTATAAAAAGAAGACAGAAGCATTCTCAGAACCCTCTTCGTGATGTTTGCATTCAACTCACGGTGCTGAACCTTTCTTTGATAGTTCAGCTTTGAAACACTCTTTTTGTAGAAACTGCAAGTGGATATTTGGTCCTCTCTGAGGATTTCGTTGGAAACGGGACAAACCGCACAGAACTAAACAGAAGCATTCTCAGAACCTTCTTCGTGATGTTTGCATTCAACTCACAGTGTTGAACCTTTCTTTGATAGTTCAGGTTTGAAACGGTCTTTCTGTAGAAACTGCAAGTAGATATTTGGAGCTCTCTGAGGATTTCGTTGGAAACGGGATAAACCGCACAGAACTAAAACAGAAGCATTCACAGAAAACTCTTGGAGACGACTGAGTTTAACTCACAGAGCTGAACATTCCTTTGGATGGAGCAGTTTCGAAACACACTATTTGTAGAATGTGCAAGTGGATATGTGGGCCTCTCTGAGGATTTCGTTGGAAACGGGATAAACCGCACAGAACTAAACAGAAGCATTCTCAGAAACTACTTTGTGATGATTGCATTCAAGTCACAGAGCTGAACATTCCCTTTGACAGAGCAGTTTGGAAACTCTCTTTGTGTAGAATCTGCAAGTGGAGATATGGAATGCTTTGAGGACTATGGTAGTAAACGAAATAGCTTCATAGACAAGCTAGACAGTAGCATTCTCAGAAACTTCTTTGTGATGCTTGCATTCAACTCACAGAGTTGAACTTTCCTTTCGAGAGAGAAGCTTTGAAACACTCTTTTTCCAGAATCTGCAAGTGGACATTTGGAGGGCTTTGAGGCCTGTGGTGGAAAAGGAATTAACTTCCCGTAAAAGCTAGATAGAAGTATTGTCAGAAACTTCTTTGTGATGATTGCATTCAACTCACAGAGTTGAAGGTTCCTTTTCAAACAGCAGTTTCCAATCACTCTTTCTGTGGAATCTGCAAGTGGATATTTGGACCTATTTTGAAGATTTCGTTGGAAACGGGATAATCTTCACAGAAAAGCTAAACAGAAGCATTCTCAGAAACTTCTCTGTGATGTTTGTGTTCAACTCCCAGAGTTTCACATTGCTTTTCATAGAGTAGTTCTGAAACATGCTTTTCGTAGTGTCTACAAGTGGACATTTGGAGCGCTTTCAGGCCTGTGGTGGAAAACGAATTATGGTCACATAAAAACTGGAGAGAAGCCTTCTCAGAAACTTCTCTGTGATGATTGCATTCAACTCACAGAGTTGAACCCTCCTATGGATAGAGCAGTGTTGAAACTCTCTTTTTGTGGAATCTGCAAGTGGATATGTGGACCTCTCCGAAGATGTCTTTGGAAACGGGAATATCTTCACATAAAAACTAAACAGAAGCATTCTCAGAAACTTCTTGGTGATGTTTGCATTCAAATCCCAGAGTTGAACCTTCCTTTGATAGTTCAGGTTTGAAACACTCTTTTTGTAGGATCTCCAAGTGGATATTTGGACCACTCTGTGGCCTTCGTTCGAAACGGGTATATCTTCGCATAAAATCTAGACAGAAGCATTCTCAGAAAATACTTTGTGATGATTGAGTTTAACTCACAGAGCTGAACATTCCTTTGGATGGAGCAGGTTTGAGACACACTTTTTGTAGAATCTACAAGTGGATATTTGGACCTCTCTGAGGATTTCGTTGGAAACGCGATAACTGCACCTAACTAAACGGAAGCATTCTCAGAAACTACTTTGTGATGATTGCATTCACCTCACAGAGTTGAACATTCCTATTGATAGAGCAGTTTGGAAACACTCTTGTTGTGGAATGTGCAAGTGGAGATTTGGAGCGCTTTGAGGCCTATGGTAGTAAAGGGAATAGCTTCATAGAAAAACTAGACAGATGCATTCTCAGGAACTTTTTGGTGATGTTTGTATTCAACTCCCAGAGTTGAACTTTCCTTTGGAAAGAGCAGCTATGAAACACTCTTTTTCTAGAATCTGCAAGTGGACGTTTGGAGGGCTTTGTGGTTTGTGGTGGAAAAGGAAATATCTTCACCTAAATACTAGATAGAAGCATTCTCAGAAGCTTCTCTGTGATGACTGCATTCAACTCACGGAGTTGAACACTCCTTTTGAGAGCGCAGTTTTGAAACTCTCTTTCTGTGGCATCTGCAAGGGGACATGTTGACCTCTTTGAAGATTTCGTTGGAAACGGAATCATCTTCGCATAAAAACTATACAGAAGCAGTCTCAGAATCTTCTTTGTGGTGTTTGCATTCAAATCCCAGAGTTGAACTTTCCTTTCAAAGTTCACGTTTGAAACACTCTTTTTGCAGGATCTACAAGTGGATATTTGGACCACTCTGTGTCCTTCGTTCGAAACGGGTATATCTTCACATGACATCTAGACAGAAGTTTTCTCAGAAAATTCTTTGGGATGATTGAGTGGAACTCACAGAGCTGAACATTCCTTGCGATGTAGCAGTTTAGAAACACACTTTCTGCAGAATCTGCAAGTGCATATTTGGACCTCTCTGAGGAATTCGTTGGAAACGGGATAATTTCAGCTGACTAAACAGAAGCATTCTCAGAACCTTCTTCGTGATGTCTGCATTCAACTCACAGTGTGGAACCTTTCTTTGATAGTTCAGGTTTGAAACACTCTTTTTGTAGAAACTGCAAGGGGATAATTGCACTTCTTTGAGGCCTACCGTAGTAAAGGAAATAACTTCCTATAGAAAGAAGACAGAAGCATTCTCAGAACCCTCTTCGTGATGTTTGCATTCAACTCACAGTGCTGAACCTTTCTTTGATAGTTCAGCTTTGAAACACTCTTCTTGTAGAAACTGCAAGTGGATATTTGGTCCTCTCTGAGGATTTCGTTGGAAACGGGATAAACCGCACAGAACTAAACAGAAGCATTCTCAGAGCCCTCTTCGTGATGTTTGCATTCAACTCACAGTGCTGAACCTTTCTTTGATAGTGCAGCTTTGAAACACTCTTTTTGTAGAAACTGCAAGTGGATGTTTGGTCCTCTCTGAGGATTTCGTTGGAAACGGGATAAACCGCACAGAACTAAAACAGAAGCATTGTCAGAAACTTCTTTGTGATGATTGCATTCAACTCACAGAGTTGAAGGTTCCTTTTCAAACAGCAGTTTCCAATCACTCTTTCTGTGGAATCTGCAAGTGGATATTTGGGCCTCTCTGAGGATTTCGTTGGAAACGGGATAAAACGCACAGAACTAAAACAGAAGCATTCTCAGAAACTTCTCTGTGATGTTTGTGTTCAACTCCCAGAGTTTCACGTTGCTTTTCATAGAGTAGTTCTGAAACATGCTTTTCGTAGTGTCTGCAAGTGGACATTTGGAGCGCTTTCAGGCCTGTGGTGGAAAACGAATTATGGTCACATAAAAACTGGAGAGAGCCTTCTCAGAAACTTCTCTGTGATGATTGCATTCAACTCACAGAGTTGAACCCTCCTATGGATAGAGCAGTGTTGAAACTCTCTTTTTGTGGAATCTGCAAGTGGATATGTGGACCTCTCCGAAGATGTCTTTGGAAACGGGAATATCTTCACATAAAAACTAAACAGAAGCATTCTCAGAAACTTCTTGGTGATGTTTGCATTCAAATCCCAGAGTCGAACCTTCCTTTGATAGTTCAGGTTTGAAACACTCTTTTTGTAGGATCTGCAAGTGGATATTTGGACCACTCTGTGGCCTTCGTTCGAAACGGGTATATCTTCGCATAAAATCTAGACAGAAGCATTCTCAGAAAATACTTTGTGATGATTGAGTTTAACTCACAGAGCTGAACATTCCTTTGGATGGAGCAGGTTTGAGACACACTTTTTGTAGAATCTACAAGTGGATATTTGGACCTCTCTGAGGATTTCGTTGGAAACGGGATAACTGCACCTAACTAAACGGAAGCATTCTCAGAAACTGCTTTGTGATGATTGCATTCACCTCACCAGAGTTGAACATTCCTATTGATAGAGCAGTTTGGAAACACTCTTGTTGTGGAATGTGCAAGTGGAGATTTGGAGCGCTTTGAGGCCTATGGTAGTAAAGGGAATAGCTTCATAGAAAAACTAGACAGATGCATTCTCAGGAACTTTTTGGTGATGTTTGTATTCAACTCCCAGAGTTGAACTTTCCTTTGGAAAGAGCAGCTATGAAACACTCTTTTTCTAGAATCTGCAAGTGGACGTTTGGAGGGCTTTGTGGTTTGTGGTGGAAAAGGAAATATCTTCACCTAAATACTAGATAGAAGCATTCTCAGAAGCTTCTCTGTGATGACTGCATTCAACTCACGGAGTTGAACACTCCTTTTGAGAGCGCAGTTTTGAAACTCTCTTTCTGTGGCATCTGCAAGGGGACATGTAGACCTCTTTGAAGATTTCGCTGGAAACGGAATCATCTTCACATAAAAACTATACAGAAGCAGTCTCAGAATCTTCTTTGTGATGTTTGCATTCAAATCCCAGAGTTGAACTTTCCTTTCAAAGTTCACGTTTGAAACACTCTTTTTGCAGGATCTACAAGTGGATATTTGGACCACTCTGTGTCCTTCGTTCGAAACGGGTATATCTTCACACGACATCTAGACAGAAAGCTTTCTCAGAAAATTCTTTGGGATGATTGAGTGGAACTCACAGAGCTGAACATTCCTTGCGATGTAGCAGTTTAGAAACACACTTTCTGCAGAATCTGCAAGTGCATATTTGGACCTCTCTGAGGAATTCGTTGGAAACGGGATAATTTCAGCTGACTAAACAGAAGCATTCTCAGAACCTTCTTCGTGATGTCTGCATTCAACTCACAGTGTGGAACCTTTCTTTGATAGTTCAGGTTTGAAACACTCTTTTTGTAGAAACTGCAAGGGGATAATTGCACTTCTTTGAGGCCTACCGTAGTAAAGGAAATAACTTCCTATAGAAAGAAGACAGAAGCATTCTCAGAACCCTCTTCCTGATGTTTGCATTCAACTCACAGTGCTGAACCTTTCTTTGATAGTTCAGCTTTGAAACACTCTTCTTGTAGAAACTGCAAGTGGATATTTGGTCCTCTCTGAGGATTTCGTTGGAAACGGGATAAACCGCACAGAACTAAACAGAAGAACTCTCAGAGCCCTCTTCGTGATGTTTGCATTCAACTCACAGTGCTGAACCTTTCTTTGATAGTGCAGCTTTGAAACACTCTTTTTGTAGAAACTGCAAGTGGATATTTGGTCCTCTCTGAGGATTTCGTTGGAAACGGGATAAACCACACAGAACTAAAACAGAAGCATTCTCAGAACCTTCTTCGTGATGTTTGCATTCAACTCACAGTGTTGAACCTTTCTTTGATAGTTCAGGTTTGAAACGGTCTTTCTGTAGAAACTGCAAGTAGATATTTGGACCTCTCTGAGGATTTCGTTGGAAACGGGATAACCCGCACAGAACTAAAACAGAAGCATTCACAGAAAACTCTTGGTGACGACTGAGTTTAACTCACAGAGCTGAACATTCCTTTGGATGGAGCAGTTTCGAAACACACTATTTGTAGAATGTGCAAGTGGATATTTGGGCCTCTCTGAGGATTTCGTTGGAAACGGGATAAACCGCACAGAACTAAACAGAAGCATTCTCAGAAACTACTTTGTGATGATTGCATTCAAGTCACAGAGTTGAACATTCCCTTTGACAGAGCAGTTTGGAAACTCTCTTTGTGTAGAATCTGCAAGTGGAGATATGGACCGCTTTGAGGCCTATGGTAGTAAAGGAAATAGCTTCATATAAAAGCTAGACAGTAGCATTCTCAGAAACTTCTTTGTGATGCTTCCATTCAACTCACAGAGTTGAACTTTCCTTTCGAGAGAGAAGCTTTGAAACACTCTTTTTCCAGAATCTGCAAGTGGACATTTGGAGGGCTTTGAGGCCTGTGGTGGAAAAGGAATTATCTTCCCGTAAAAGCTAGATGGAAGCATTGTCAGAAACTTCTTTGTGATGATTGCATTCAACTCACAGAGTTGAAGGTTCCTTTTCAAACAGCAGTTTCCAATCACTCTTTCTGTGGAATCTGCAAGTGGATATTTGGACCTAGTTTGAAGATTTCGTTGGAAACGGGAGAATCTTCACAGAAAAGCTAAACAGAAGCATTCTCAGAAACTTCTCTGTGATGTTTGTGTTCAACTCCCAGAGTTTCACGTTGCTTTTCATAGAGTAGTTCTGAAACATGCTTTTCGTAGTGTCTGCAAGTGGACATTTGGAGCGCTTTCAGGCCTGTGGTGGAAAACGAATTATGGTCACATAAAAACTGGAGAGAAGCCTTCTCAGAAACTTCTCTGTGATGATTGCATTCAACTCACAGAGTTGAACCCTCCTATGGATAGAGCAGTGTTGAAACTCTCTTTTTGTGGAATCTGCAAGTGGATATGTGGACCTCTCCGAAGATGTCTTTGGAAACGGGAATATCTTCACATAAAAACTAAACAGAAGCATTCTCAGAAACTTCTTGGTGATGTTTGCATTCAAATCCCAGAGTTGAACCTTCCTTTGATAGTTCAGGTTTGAAACACTCTTTCTGTAGGATCTGCAAGTGGCTATTTGGACCACTCTGTGGCCTTCGTTCGAAACGGGTATATCTTCGCATAAAATCTAGACAGAAGCATTCTCAGAAAATACTTTGTGATGATTGAGTTGAACTCACAGAGCTGAACATTCCTTTGGATGGAGCAGGTTTGAGACACACTTTTTGTAGAATCTACAAGTGGATATTTGGACCTCTCTGAGGATTTCGTTGGAAACGGGATAACTGCACCTAACTAAACGGAAGCCTTCTCAGAAACTGCTTTGTGATGATTGCATTCACCTCACAGAGTTGAACATTCCTATTGATAGAGCAGTTTGGAAACACTCTTGTTGTGGAATGTGCAAGTGGAGATTTGGAGCGCTTTGAGGCCTATGGTAGTAAAGGGAAGAGCTTCATAGAAAAACAAGACAGATGCATTCTCAGGAACTTTTTGGTGATGTTTGTATTCAACTCCCAGAGTTGAACTTTCCTTTGGAAAGAGCAGCTATGAAACACTCTTTTTCTAGAATCTGCAAGTGGACGTTTGGAGGGCTTTGTGGTTTGTGGTGGAAAAGGAAATATCTTCACCTAAATACTAGATAGAAGCATTCTCAGAAGCTTCTCTGTGATGACTGCATTCAACTCACGGAGTTGAACACTCCTTTTGAGAGCGCAGTTTTGAAACTCTCTTTCTGTGGCATCTGCAAGGGGACATGTAGACCTCTTTGAAGATTTCGCTGGAAACGGAATCATCTTCACATAAAAACTATACAGAAAGCAGTCTCAGAATCTTCTTTGTGATGTTTGCATTCAAATCCCAGAGTTGAACTTTCCTTTCAAAGTTCACGTTTGAAACACTCTTTTTGCAGGATCTACAAGTGGATATTTGGACCACTCTGTGTCCTTCGTTCGAAACGGGTATAACTTCACACGACATCTAGACAGAAGCTTTCTCAGAAAATTCTTTGGGATGATTGAGTGGAACTCACAGAGCTGAACATTCCTTGCGATGTAGCAGTTTAGAAACACACTTTCTGCAGAATCTGCAAGTGCATATTTGGACCTCTCTGAGGAATTCGTTGGAAACGGGATAATTTCAGCTGACTAAACAGAAGCATTCTCAGAACTTCTTCGTGATGTCTGCATTCAACTCACAGTGTGGAACCTTTCTTTGATAGTTCAGGTTTGAAACACTCTTTTTGTAGAAACTGCAAGGGGATAATTGCACTTCTTTGAGGCCTACCGTAGTAAAGGAAATAACTTCCTATAGAAAGAAGACAGAAGCATTCTCAGAACCCTCTTCGTGATGTTTGCATTCAACTCACAGTGCTGAACCTTTCTTTGATAGTTCAGCTTTGAAACACTCTTCTTGTAGAAACTGCAAGTGGATATTTGGTCCTCTCTGAGGATTTCGTTGGAAACGGGATAAACCGCACAGAACTAAACAGAAGCATTCTCAGAACCTTCTTCGTGATGTTTGCATTCAACTCACAGTGTTGAACCTTTCTTTGATAGTTCAGGTTTGAAACGATCTTTCTGTAGAAACTGCAAGTAGATATTTGGACCTCTCTGAGGATTTCGTTGGAAACGGGATAAACCGCACAGAACTAAAACAGAAGCATTCACAGAAAACTCTTGGTGACGACTGAGTTTAACTCACAGAGCTGAACATTCCTTTGGATGGAGCAGTTTCGAAACACACTATTTGTAGAATCTGCAAGTGGATATGTGGGCCTCTCTGAGGATTTCGTTGGAAACGGGTAAATCGCACAGAACTAAACAGAAGCATTCTCAGAAACTACTTTGTGATTATTGCATTCAAGTCACAGAGTTGAACATTCCCTTTGACAGAGCAGTTTGGAAACTCTCTTTGTGTAGAATCTGCAAGTGGAGATATGGACCGCTTTGAGGCCTATGGTAGTAAAGGAAATAGCTTCATATAAAACCTAGACAGTAGCATTCTCAGAAACTTCTTTGTGATGCTTGCATTCAACTCACAGAGTTGAACTTTCCTTTCGAGAGAGAAGCTTTGAAACACTCTTTTTCCAGAATGTGCAAGTGGACATTTGGGGAGCTTTGAGGCCTGTGGTGGAAAAGGAATTATCTTCCCGTAAAAGCTAGATAGAAGCATTGTCAGAAACTTCTTTGTGATGATTGCATTCAACTCACAGAGATGAAGGTTCCTTTACAAACAGCAGTTTCCAAACACTCTTTCTGTGGAATCTGCAAGTGGATATTTAGACCTCTTTGAAGATTTCGTTGGAAACGGGAGAATCTTCACAGAAAAGCTAAACAGAAGCATTCTCAGAAACTTCTCTGTGATGTTTGTGTTCAACTCCCAGAGTTTCACGTTGCTTTTCATAGAGTAGTTCTGAAACATGCTTTTCGTAGTGTCTGCAAGTGGACATTTGGAGCGCTTTCAGGCCTGTGGTGGAAAACGAATTATGGTCACATAAAAACTGGAGAGAGCCTTCTCAGAAACTTCTCTGTGATGATTGCATTCAACTCACAGAGTTGAACCCTCCTATGGATAGAGCAGTGTTGAAACTCTCTTTTTGTGGAATCTGCAAGTGGATATGTGGACCTCTCCGAAGATGTCTTTGGAAACGGGAATATCTTCACATAAAAACTAAACAGAAGCATTCTCAGAAACTTCTTGGTGATGTTTGCATTCAAATCCCAGAGTTGAACCTTCCTTTGATAGTTCAGGTTTGAAACACTCTTTTTGTAGGATCTGCAAGTGGCTATTTGGACCACTCTGTGGCCTTCGTTCGAAACGGGTATATCTTCGCATAAAATCTAGACAGAAGCATTCTCAGAAAATACTTTGTGATGATTGAGTTGAACTCACAGAGCTGAACATTCCTTTGGATGGAGCAGGTTTGAGACACACTTTTTGTAGAATCTACAAGTGGATATTTGGACCTCTCTGAGGATTTCGTTGGAAACGGGATAACTGCACCTAACTAAACGGAAGCCTTCTCAGAAACTGCTTTGTGATGATTGCATTCACCTCACAGAGTTGAACATTCCTATTGATAGAGCAGTTTGGAAACACTCTTGTTGTGGAATGTGCAAGTGGAGATTTGGAGCGCTTTGAGGCCTATGGTAGTAAAGGGAAGAGCTTCATAGAAAAACAAGACAGATGCATTCTCAGGAACTTTTTGGTGATGTTTGTATTCAACTCCCAGAGTTGAACTTTCCTTTGGAAAGAGCAGCTATGAAACACTGTTTTTCTAGAATCTGCAAGTGGACGTTTGGAGGGCTTTGTGGTTTGTGGTGGAAAAGGAAATATCTTCACCTAAATACTAGATAGAAGCATCCTCAGAAGCTTCTCTGTGATGACTGCATTCAACTCACGGAGTTGAACACTCCTTTTGAGAGCGCAGTTTTGAAACTCTCTTTCTGTGGCATCTGCAAGGGGACATGTAGACCTCTTTGAAGATTTCGTTGGAAACGGAATCATCTTCACATAAAAACTATACAGAAGCAGTCTCAGAATCTTCTTTGTGATGTTTGCATTCAAATCCCCGAGTTGAACTTTCCTTTCAAAGTTCACGTTTGAAACACTCTTTTTGCAGGATCTACAAGTGGATATTTGGACCACTCTGTGTCCTTCGTTCGAAACGGGTATATCTTCACATGACATCTAGACAGAAGCTTTCTCAGAAAATTCTTTGGGATGATTGAGTTGAACTCACAGAGCTGAACATTCCTTGCGATGTAGCAGTTTAGAAACACATTTTCTGCAGAATCTGCAAGTGCATATTTGGACCTCTGTGAGGAATTCGTTGGAAACGGGATAATTTCAGCTGACTAAACAGAAACATACTCAGAACCTTCTTCGTGATGTCTGCATTCAACTCACAGTGTGGAACCTTTCTTTGATAGTGCAGGTTTGAAACACTCTTTTTGTACAAACTGCAAGGGGATAATTGCACTTCCTTGAGGCCTACCACAGTAAAGGAAATAACTTCCTATAAAAAGAAGACAGAAGCATTCTCAGAACCCTCTTCGTGATGTTTGCATTCAACTCACAGTGCTGAACCTTTCTTTGATAGTTCAGCTTTGAAACACTCTTTTTGTAGAAACTGCAAGTGGATACTTGTTCCTCTCTGAGGATTTCGTTGGAAACGGGATAAACCTCACAGAACTAAACAGAAGCATTCTCAGAACCTTCTTCGTGATGTTTGCATTCAACTCACAGTGTTGAACCTTTCTTTGATAGTTCAGGTTTGAAACGGTCTTTCTGTAGAAACTGCAAGTAGATATTTGGACCTCTGCTGAGGATTTCGTTGGAAACGGGATAAACCGCACAGAACTAAAACAGAAGCATTCACAGAAAACTCTTGGTGACGACTGAGTTTAACTCACAGAGCTGAACATTCCTTTGGATGGAGCAGTTTCGAAACACACTATTTGTAGAATGTGCAAGTGGATATTTGGGCCTCTCTGAGGATTTCGTTGGAAACGGGATAAACCGCACAGAACTAAACAGAAGCATTCTCAGAAACTACTTTGTGATGATTGCATTCAAGTCACAGAGTTGAACATTCCCTTTGACAGAGCAGTTTGGAAACTCTCTTTGTGTAGAATCTGCAAGTGGAGATATGGACCGCTTTGAGGCCTATGGTAGTAAAGGAAATAGCTTCATATAAAAGCTAGACAGTAAGCATTCTCAGAAACTTCTTTGTGATGCTTGCATTCAACTCACAGAGTTGAACTTTCCTTTCGAGAGAGAAGCTTTGAAACACTCTTTTTCCAGAATCTGCAAGTGGACATTTGGAGGGCTTTGAGGCCTGTGGTGGAAAAGGAATTATCTTCCCGTAAAAGCTAGATAGAAGCATTGTCAGAAACTTCTTTGTGATGATTGCATTCAAGTCACAGAGTTGAAGGTTCCTTTTCAAAGAGCAGTTTCCAATCACTCTTTCTGTGGAATCTGCAAGTGGATATTTGGACCTCTTTGAAGATTTCGTTGGAAACGGGAGAATCTTCACAGAAAAGCTAAACAGAAGCATTCTCAGAAACTTCTCTGTGATGTTTGTGTTCAACTCCCAGAGTTTCACATTGCTTCTCATAGAGTAGTTCTGAAACATGCTTTTCGTAGTGTCTGCAAGTGGACATTTGGAGCGCTTTCAGGCCTGTGGTGGAAAACGAATTATGGTCACATAAAAACTGGAGAGAAGCCTTCTCAGAAACTTCTCTGTGATGATTGCATTCAACTCACTGAGTTGAACCCTCCTATGGTCAGAGCAGTGTTGAAACTCTCTTTTTGTGGAATCTGCAAGTGGATATGTGGACCTCTCCGAAGATGTCTTTGGAAACGGGAATATCTTCACATAAAAACTAAACAGAAGCATTCTCAGAAACTTCTTGGTGATGTTTGCATTCAAATCCCAGAGTTGAACCTTCCTTTGAGAGTTCAGGTTTGAAACACTCTTTTTGTAGGATCTGCAAGTGGATATTTGGACCACTCTGTGGCCTTCGTTCGAAACGGGTACATCTTCGCATAAAATCTAGACAGAAGCATTCTCAGAAAATACTTTGTGATGATTGAGTTGAACTCACAGAGCTGAACATTCCTTTGGATGGAGCAGGTTTGAGACACACTTTTTGTAGAATCTACAAGTGGATATTTGGACCTCTCTGAGGATTTCGTTGGAAACGGGATAAATACACCTAACTAAACGTAAGCATTCTCAGAAACTGCTTTGTGATGATTGCATTCACCTCACAGAGTTGAACATTCCTATTGATAGAGCAGTTTGGAAACACTCTTGTTGTGGAATGTGCAAGTGGAGATTTGGAGCGCTTTGAGGCCTATGGTAGTAAAGGGAATAGCTTCATAGAAAAACTAGACAGATGCATTCTCAGGAACTTTTTGGTGATGTTTGTATTCAACTCCCAGAGTTGAACTTTCCTTTAGAAAGAGCAGCTATGAAACACTCTTTTTCTAGAATCTGCAAGTGGACGTTTGGAGGGCTTTGTGGTTTGTGGTGGAAAAGGAAATATCTTCACCTAAATACTAGATAGAAGCATTCTCAGAAGCTTCTCTGTGATGACTGCATTCAACTCACGGAGTTGAACACTCCTTTTGAGAGCGCAGTTTTGAAACTCTCTTTCTGTGGCATCTGCAAGGGGACATGTAGACCTCTTTGAAGATTTCGTTGGAAACGGAATCATCTTCACATAAAAACTATACAGAAGCAGTCTCAGAATCTTCTTTGTGATGTTTGCATTCAAATCCCAGAGTTGAACTTTCCTTTCAAAGTTCACGTTTGAAACACTCTTTTTGCAGGATCTACAAGTGGATATTTGGACCACTCTGTGTCCTTCGTTTGAAACGGGTATATCTTCACATGACATCTAGACAGAAGCTTTCTCAGAAAATTCTTTGGGATGATTGAGTTGAACTCACAGAGCTGAACATTCCTTGCGATGGAGCAGTTTAGAAACACACTTTCTGCAGAATCTGCAAGTGCATATTTGGACCTCTCTGAGGAATTCGTTGGAAACGGGATAATTTCAGCTGACTAAACAGAAGCATTCTCAGAATCTTCTTCGTGATGTCTGCATTCAACTCACAGTGTGGCACCTTTCTTTGATAGTTCAGGTTTGAAACACTCTTTTTGTAGAAACTGCAAGGGGATAATTGCACTTCTTTGAGGCCTACCGTAGTAAAGGAAATAACTTCCTATACAAAGAAGACAGAAGCATTCTCAGAACCCTCTTCGTGATGTTTGCATTCAACACACAGTGCTGAACCTTTCTTTGATAGTTCAGCTTTGAAACACTCTTTTTGTAGAAACTGCAAGTGGATATTTGGTCCTCTCTGAGGATTTCGTTGGAAACGTGATAAACCGCACAGAACTAAACAGAAGCATTCACAGAAAACTCTTGGTGACGACTGAGTTTAACTCACAGAGCTGAACATTCCTTTGGATGGAGCAGTTTCGAAACACACTCTTTGTAGAATCTGCAAGTGGATATTTGGGCCTCTCTAAGGATTTCGTTGGAAATGGGATAAACCGCACAGAACTAAAACAAAAGCATTCTGAGAAACTACTTTGTGATGATTGCATTCAAGTCACAGAGCTGAACATTCCCTTTGACAGAGCAGTTTGGAAACTCTCTTTGTGTAGAATCTGCAAGTGGAGATATGGAATGCTTTGAGGACTATGGTAGTAAAGGTAATAGCTTCATAGAAAAGCTAGACAGTAGCATTCTCAGAAACTTCTTTGTGATGCTTGCATTCAACTCACAGAGTTGAACTTTCCTTTCGAGAGAGAAGCTTTGAAACACTCTTTTTCCAGAATCTGCAAGTGGACATTTGGAGGGCTTTGAGGCCTGTGGTGGAAAAGGAATTATCTTCCCGTAAAAGCTGGATAGAAGCATTGTCAGAAACTTCTTTGTGATGATTGTATTCAACTCACAGAGTTGAAGGTTCCTTTTCAAACAGCAGTTTCCAAACACTCTTTCTGTGGAATCTGCAAGTGGATGTTTGGACCTCTTTGAAGATTTCGTTGGAAACGGGAGAATCTTCACAGAAAAGCTAAACAGAAGCATTCTCAGAAACTTCTCTGTGATGTTTGTGTTCAACTCCCAGAGTTTCACGTTGCTTTTCATAGAGTAGTTCTGAAACATGCTTTTCGTAGTGTCTGCAAGTGGACATTTGGAGCGCTTTCAGGCCTGTGGTGGAAAACGAATTATGGTCACATAAAAACTGGAGAGAAGCCTTCTCAGGAAACTTCTCTGTGATGATTGCATTCAACTCACAGAGTTGAACCCTCCTATGGATAGAGCAGTGTTGAAACTCTCTTTTTGTGGAATCTGCAAGTGGATATGTGGACCTCTCCGAAGATGTCTTTGGAAACGGGAATATCTTCACATAAAAACTAAACAGAAGCATTCTCAGAAACTTCTTGGTGATGTTTGCATTCAAATCCCAGAGTTGAACCTTCCTTTGATAGTTCAGGTTTGAAACACTCTTTTTGTAGGATCTGCAAGTGGCTATTTGGACCACTCTGTGGCCTTCGTTCGAAACGGGTATATCTTCGCATAAAATCTAGACAGAAGCATTCTCAGAAAATACTTTGTGATGATTGAGTTTAACTCACAGAGCTGAACATTCCTTTGGATGGAGCAGGTTTGAGACACACTTTTTGTAGAATCTACAAGTGGATATTTGGACCTCTCTGAGGATTTCGATGGAAACGGGATAACTGCACCTAACTAAACGGAAGCATTCTCAGAAACTGCTTTGTGATGATTGCATTCACCTCACAGAGTTGAACATTCCTATTGATAGAGCAGTTTGGAAACACTCTTGTTGTGGAATGTGCAAGTGGAGATTTGGAGCGCTTTGAGGTCTATGGTAGTAAAGGGAATAGCTTCATAGAAAAACTAGACAGATGCATTCTCAGGAACTTTTTGGTGATGTTTGTATTCAACTCCCAGAGTTGAACTTTCCTTTGGAAAGAGCAGCTATGAAACACTCTTTTTCTAGAATCTGCAAGTGGACGTTTGGAGGGCTTTGTGGTTTGTGGTGGAAAAGGATATATCTTCACCTAAATACTAGAGAGAAAAACTGTAATAAAAAAAAGTTGGGAGGCTGAGGTGAGCAAATCACTTGAGGTCAAGAATTCGAAAACAACCTTGCCAAAATGGAAAAACCATGTCTCTACTAAAAATACAAAAAATAAAAAAATGTGGTGGTGTACATCTGCAGCTCAAAAACTTGGGAGGCTGAAGCACAAGAATCCCTTGAACCTAAAATGGAAGGCAAAGGCTGCAGTGAGCTGAAATTGTGCCACCACACTCCAGCCTGGGTGAAAAAGCAAGACCCTGTCTCAAGAAAAGGAAAGGAAAGGAAAGGAAAAGGAAAGGAAAGGAAAGGAAAGGAAAGGAAAGGAAAGGAAAGGAAAGGAAAGGAAAGGAAAGGAAAGGAAAGGAAAGGAAAGGAAAGGAAAGGAATGGAAAGGAAAGGGAGGGGAGGGGAGAGAAAAAAAAAAATGCTCTATCAATAGGAATGTTCAACTCTGTGAGGTGAATGCAATCATCACAAAGCAGTTTCTGAGAATGCTTC